>NC_000013.11:72650530-72802045 GCF_000001405.40 Homo sapiens
AAGGATTTCTCTATTAGTTTCTCTAAGCCCTTAAAGCAAATGAAGGCTCTTATGATATAAAACACCTTCTTTCTCTATTTTTTTTTCTCAGCTCTCAAGCCTAAATGCATTTCAGGGTAGAATTTTAAATGAACTAGATAAATGAAATTCTACCTAACTGTATTAATTTTTGACACTCTTTTTATGATTCTTTTAAAAAGAACATAGAAACGAATTGCAGCTCGGGCTGCTGTACAGTCATGATGAATAGCATGCTACAAATAATATTTTTTTCAAACTTTTGAAAGAACAACTTAGATTTTTAATCTCTTAGGTGGGTTTACAAGCACCCTATGTCGATAACCAACCAAGGAGCTATGAATGAGGTTTCTTAAACATAGAAAAGCATTCGTCTATTAAAGGAAGCATTTTCATACTTTTACTCCCTATTGTTTAACCTTTTGTTCCCATCACAAATATCTACACGTAGTTTTATCTCTGACCTTGAGGGACTGTGTAGTTTTATCGAGGCTTCCTTTTAGATCATAGATGACCTTCAGCTGGTATCATTGAGCTCTGACCTGCCTCAGTGATCTGTTCACACAAAATACATATGCTGAGCAGTGCTCGTGTGTGCAGTAGGGGTAAGTGAATTATTTACAAAAATTTGAGTTGACACCTTTTATCAAATGTGGAAAGATGAAGACAAAACAGCTGCTATTGCTGTCGTAAGCAATCTGCTGGTGATTGAATAAAAGTGTCAAGAAAATGGCTGCTTGATGGCCTTTTGTTCTCCCTCATCCAGCTTGATGTTAGTTTGAGCTGTCAGTTAGGAATCACGGCAGTGTGATTTATCAATAGACTGAGTGACCTTCTATTTTAGCTTGTGATAGAACTAGAAGACAGCACCCTCTACTGCGAATACACAGCACTTCCTCTTAGTGTGCCATTAGTCCGAGTGATTGGTTTGCATTTGCTAGAAACAACTTATCCTTACGATAATTATGGCTTTTAAATTTTTGTCCTGTTTCAATTGCCTCCACACATTTATTAAAAATTAGTAAAATCCAAAAAAACTTCAAGCATATTTCTATACCTTCCAGCAAACTAATTTAGAAAATCAGTATTTGAGATAAAATGCTTCCTCCTTGCTAATTAAACTGCAGAATAAGGAAACATTATCTTTGATAGCAAACTGAATCTTTAAACAGTGTTTGGATTATATTGATATTAATAACCCGTTTGCATTAACTCAAGTTGTTTTATAGTCTCTATATAAAGAAAGATTTAGACTTATTTTTCTGCCATAATATTGTGGACTCCTCAGGGAAAGATACTATTACCAATCAGAGCTTTGTGGATCCTTGAGTGATATGAAATCATAGTGGACCAAAACCTTACAAATGGACATTTCTTCTGCCATCATGTAGAATATCATTATGCATTTTTAAAGTAGGCTTTTTTGTTTAATAGATATTTATTTGATCCCAACCTCAAATAAGGTGAAAGTAAATTATGAGAAAAAGAATATTATAGCAGCTATTGAAAAGGAAGTATTGAACATATTTAAATGAATTAAAATAGCCTTGTCTGATTTCCAATAGCACATAATCTTTTAACGTTCAGATCTAATTTGCTACAGTGTGTAGCAAATTTTAGTTCTTTTAAAAACTGTTTATATATTTATATATATGCTATTTCAAATGCAGTTTTTTTAGCATTTCCTGGTAACTTTTTATTTTAACTTCTCATCTTATATTTTTAAATTAAATGTGAAAATCGCTGTTAGTATTATTTTGTTGGCTGTATAACACACTTAACTACTTAAAGATACAATATGGGACCATGTCTTTCTCCTGTCTGTCTGAGATGTAGTTTACATTGCACTACAGATTAAAGCACACCGGGTTAGGTGTATATAAAAATACATACTTAACTAGTTCACAAAATTTTCACTTTGTATTCATTGCCTTTCCTTCCCCTGATTCAATTCAGACCATTAGGTATTTACCTGATTCTCACTTAAATCCACAGAAGCACCACAAACAGATCCAAACTTAGGGTTCAGACCTCAATTCCTTGCCTGAGCTTTGACTTTTTCTTTTCCACCCTGATATACATACACACCGTGACTTGTTCATAAAAGCTCTGCAGCAAAGTTGAATAATATGTAAATTTTATGTTGTAATGAATTAGGTCCTAAGATCTTTAAAGGTCAGACACCTGGTATAATACATCACATTCTTTAATATCAACTACAAAATAACTGTAATAAATTTTTCCAACACCACATCCTCACACACTGTTACCCACAAGGAAGCACCAAAGGAAATGTGTCATTTGTCAAAACATGCAGAAAAACTGGCATGTGTACAAGTCACTTTAAAAGTAATGCTCAGGTTAGAAATAGCTTTCCAAATGACTGTTTTGTGGTTAAACAAAGAAAAACACATTAATACTTAACTAAAATTATCTCCTGATATGCGAAAAGAAAAATAAATAAATAACAATCTGAGATAGATGATAAAATGGTTTTAATTACTTACAGAATAACGTATAATTCAGAGGCAAAGAGCCTTATTTGATTATCCTTAAGGAAAAATTTAACAGGCATGGAAATTTAAGCATGGATGGGTGAGTGAGCTATTATAAAAATGATATAGCTATCTGAGTTATAGAAATTTGATAGTTGCTATTAAAATAAAAATATTTATTTCTTTTATAACGCTATTTGCAAGCTTTAATTTCTAGAGTGGATCCAGAGAGGACTCTGATATGTTATTTTTAATGTTATTGAAGGTATGTCCTTAAAATATACATTGTAAGTGGTTATTTTACATATACCCTCTGGTTTGGCAATAAGTTTTTAGATAGGGATTAAAACTGTATTCGAGAAACCACTGAATATATTTATCAATTTAAATAATATGTGTGCTTTAAACTTAAATACGCTTAGGGAAAGACCGTGACCACTTTAACAACCAGTTTCATTTATTCCATTATATTCGATAATGGTTTTGTTAGCATGTACACATGGTATCAGTCAATAGTCACAAAATGAAGTGGAAATGTTGTCAAGATCATTAACAAGCACCCCATAAGTAAAAAAAAAAAAAAAAAAAAAAAAAATTGAAACCAGCATAGTTTTAGTATTTGAAAGTTCTGGAAAATTGCCAAAATCCCACCCTTTTTAGTGCATATACATAAAGTTAGCCAAAATATTCATAATCTTTATTGCCAAATCTAAAATGGACTTTCTGAGCTGGGGCAAATGTGTTGGCATGAACTCCCCCAACAAACAGCTGAACACCTGTTTTCTTGCTCCAAACAAACCCAGCGTAAAGCTCATTAGACAAACTGAAGGAAGTAAAGAGATCAAGAGTGAACCTTTCAGTGTTTTAATTAATTTGTTCAAAATGGGCAAAGAACAAAGGAGCAATTTAAGGAAAAGAAACGTACAGTAATCACAGGAAGGCAATTTAAAGTACGTTGACCCCCCCAAAAATGTTTTAGACCATAACACATAATGCTCATGAAGCTGTAGTAAGAGGGACGTGCTCATACTCTGCTGGTAGAAGTGTACATTTCTTTGCGTTTCTGGAAAATGATTTAGTAGTAGGTATCTGCTAGGCAATTTGTCAGTAAGACCCATTCATTCTTTCATTCAACAAAGGATTATTGAGTGCTTGATTTGTGCCTGACAGTGAAGAAAACAGGCAAAAACTCCTGCCCTCGTGGAGCTGATATTCTGATGAGGAGACGCACACAATTAACAAGCAAATAATTGAATAGCCAGCATGCCAGATGTTGGTAAGAGGTATGGAGAAATTATTTGTATTTGCAGGGGAGGTGGCATAGGTGTCTGGCTACTTCAAATAGAATGATTAAGGGTAGAGTCAACCGAAAAAGTGTAATCTGAGCAAAGACTAGAAAGAAGTGAAGGTTACTGAGGGGAGGAGCCCCAGCTATGGTTGATCTCAGAACCCTACCTAGACCATACTCCACACAATCAGCTGGACTTATTGCTAGTCAGTATTGTCACAGGGACCCCCTAGCAGCATGCTTTCTGCTCTGATGACCATATGGCAGATCTGCTACCTTAAATGTCCCTCTACTAGGGAACCCAATCCCACCTCAGTGGGGCAGGCATCCTGCCCCCGGGGATGTCCAACCCTTGATGAGCAATCCTCAGTGCTGACAGGTAGCCAGGCCACAGTGCTGGGGCAGACAGCAGGACATGGCTAGCCATTTGTAAGCCTCTGGGCAAAGGGAGCCCTGCCCACAATGACATCCCCATGAGACTGCAACCTGTCCTCCCTCTTCCTATCATGGATCCAAGTGCTCTCAGAGAAAACTCACATTAGTGCTCTTCATCTATCCTAGGGAATTAAGCAGGAATCAAAACCAAATATGTTTGAAGTTATTAATCAGTTATTTATACTGTAATGGAAATATTCAGTGAAAAGGCAGGATTGGAATTTGTATTTACAATTTTTACATATATGGTTGTGCATGGAAAAAAGATACACGAGAATGACACTAATGTGTGAGCAATAGTTATGAAGCGAGGGTCAGCAAACTATGGCCCAAGGCACCAAATCTGACCCAATGTCTGTTTTTGTGCATAAAGTTTTATTGAAAGACAGCCCATTCATGTAAATGCTTTCACACAACCACAGAGCTGAATCGTTGCAGCCGAGACCATATGGCCTACCAAGCCTAAAATACTATCTGGCCTCAAAAAAGCTTGCAGGTCCCTGGTCTGTAGATTTGGATTACAGACATTTTGATTTCCTCCCTATGTCTCTGTCTTTTCTGTCTTCTCTACAGATAAAAATATATGATGGTTATAGTCAGAAACAAAAGGTATATAAATAATTTTGTTCATTTCCATTGTTCTGGGAATATGCTATTAAAGAATGAATGGTTACTATCAAATCCAGTCTGGTCATCAGCCATAGTTAAATAGCTCATAATGGGGGCTATAAAATTACCATTCATGTCACAGACATTTGTTGTTAGCGTTACTACCTTTCAGGCACTGCTCTAAGTGCCTTACAACTGTAAACTCATCCAATCCTCATAACAATTCTGTGAGATAGAAATTATTATTATCCTCGCTCACAGATGAGGAAACTGAAAAACAGGGGAGCTCAATAATTCACCCCTGGACACAGAGCACACACTCATTCATTAGAGCCAGTGTTCAAATCCAAGCCATCTGGAGCCAAGTCTACACTATTCATTGTGACTGTTTAATTCTTGCATCACTTTCTTACGAGGAAGATGTTTTTTGTTTAGGGTAAAAATTAGTTTTCTCGAGTTAATAGCTAAAGTACAAAAACTTTTGCCGAGGCTGAAAGGGGGAAGAGGTAGGTGGGACAGAGAACAGAAGGAAGAATGTAGGGGATTAAATTTTCATAGTTCAGACTTTTTTTTTTTTTTTTTTTGAGATGGAGTTTTGCTCTTGTTGCCCAGGCTGGAGTGCAATGGCATGATCTCGGCTCACAGTAACCTCCACCTCCCGGATTCAAGAGATTCTCCTGCCTCAGTCTCCCAAGTAGCTGGGATTACAGGCATGCGCCACCACGCCTGGCTAATTTTGTATTTTAGTAGAGATGGGGTTTCTCCATGTTGGTCAGGCTGGTCTCGAACTCCTGACCTCAGCTGATCCACCTGCCTCGGCCTCCCAAAGTACTGGGATTACAGGCGTGAGCCACCACACCTGGCCAGTTCAGACTATTTTTAAAAGATAGGTCACGAAAAGGAGTCTGCTATATCAGTAAGGGTTCTCTAAAGGAAAAGAACCAATAGGATATGTGTGGAGAGACAGAAAAAGAGAGATACAGAGAGAGAGAGAGAAATGAAGGAATTAACTCATACGATTATGGAGACTGTCAGGTCTGAATTCTACAGGGTAGGCCAGCAGACCAGAAACCCAGGGAAAAGCTGATGCAGCTTGAATCCAAAGGCAATCTGGAGGCAGAATTGCTTCTTTCTCCAGTGACCTCAGGCTTTTTTTCTTAGGGCCTTCAACTGATTGGACAAGGCCCACCATATGATGCAGGGTAGTCTGCTTTAGTAAAGTCTATTGATTTATGTGTTAATTTCATGTAAAAAAAATACCTTCACAGTAACACCTAGACTGATGTTCGACCAAATATCTGCCTGCCATGACCTAGCTAAGCTTATACAAAAGTAACCATCACATCTGGGTAAAGAAACCAGAAGAAGGGAAAGAAAAGAAAGAGGACAAAGGCAGACAGCTGCAGTGCAATGTGGGATTCAGAAAAGAAATGCATACTCCTCTTCCCTCAAGGAGTCTACAGTCTGTTAGGAGGAACAGACAAGCTGGCAGAAAAGGTACAGCTGTAGGTGGGGTCATGCGGTCTACTCTGAACTGGGATGTGGACACATCTGAGTATAGGTAGTCAGTGGGTGGACAGGCAGCCTGGGGAATTGGCTTGAGGGTTTAGCTTAGAGGTGAGGGGAGATGGTGGGTGGGGGAGAAGCTGGGAAGAGCAACAAGGAGGCCATAATCTAATCCCTGATCTTGTGCTGCAGGCAAAAGCAGAAAGCCCCGTCTCCAGAAGGCATTCCATGACCCGCCACAGCACCAGCCACGCCGCTTTGGTGAACAGAGGTCCATGTCATGCAGAAGGGGAACCTGGGGGGGCCTTGCTTCAGCTCCCATGGTGAAGGTTCCAAAGACCTAAACCACTTTTAGGTCTTAAGGGCTTACAGCTTAGGGAGGTTTAGGAAACAATACTCACTGCATTCTCACAATAGTACCAGTGGGGCCTCAAATGAGTGTCAAATAGGGGTATGAGCAACAGACGTGGCTGAGATCAGATGGGAGGTTACTGAACATGAGCATATGTCAGACTTACCTGGAAAATCTCCACAACTGTTGAGCCTGTATGGAGGTTATTAGGGATTTGGGGTTGGTTTAATGCTCCTATCACCCCATTAGTACACATAGGCTTAGAAAACTTTGGTGATAGAGCACTCTATGATACCTGTTTTTGTTTTGTCTTATTTTGTTTTGTCATGGGGGTTTCGTTTGTTTGGTTGGTTTCGGTTTTCTTGAGTCACGGTCTTGCTCTGTCACCCAGGCTAGAGTGCAGTGGCATAATCATGGCTCACTGCAGCCTCAACCTTTTGGGCTCAAGTAATCTTCCCACTTCAGCCTCCTGAGTAGCCAGGACTACAGATGTGTGCCACCACTCTCAGCTAATTATTTTTTTTTTTGTAGAGACAGGGTCTTGCTGTATTGTCCAGGCTGGTCTCAAACTCTTGGCCACAAGTAGTCCTCCAATCTCAGCTTCCCAAAGCCTTGCAATTACAGGCATGAGCTACCACACTTGACCTGTGATGCCTGTTTTGATGGACTCATGCACAGTGTGGAGCAAAGTCAAGGTGCCCTGAGAGGCCTTTGGAGTTTGGACAACTGCATGTAATTCTGGGGAACTTGAGCATGGAACATGCAGGGGAGTGAAGGTTGAGTGACAGTCATTGCTTTTCTGGGTTTGTAGACCTTTTCAGATTGAGTGTTTGTATTAGTCCATTTTCATGCTGCTGATAAAATATACCTGAGACTGGACAATTTACAAAAGAAAGAGGTTTATTGGACTTACATTTCCATGTGGCTGGGGAAGCCTCACAATCATGGCAGAAGGCAAGGAGAAGCAAGTCATGTCTTACGTGGATGACAGCAGGCACAGAGAGAGAGAGCTTGTGCAGGGGAACTCCTCTTTTTAAAACCAACAGATGTCATGAGACTTATTCACTATCACGAGTACGGCATGGGAAAGACTTGCTGCCATAATTCAATTACCTCCCACCAGGCCCCTCCCACAACACATAGGAATTCAAGATGAGATCTAGGTGAGGACACAGCCAAACCATATCCATCTTTTTCAGATTGAATCAATGAACTACACTGATTCTTCCTTCCCTCTCCTTCCACCCACCACTCTCCCTATCCCTTCACTGCAAATTTGTATTCCTTAATTTCATCCTCCTCCCAGAGAAAATTTCTGTATTCATTTGCAGACCAGTAATTACCAAATGTGTTTGATTGGAAACAAAAGTAGAATGTAAGCACCATGTTGGTCAGGTTGGTCTCGAACTCCCGACCTCAGGTGATCTGCCCACCTTGGCCTCCCAAAGTGCTGGGATTAAAGGTGTGGGCATCAGGGCAGGGATTTTGTTTTCTGCTGCTCACTATTTTACCCCTGGTTCTTGACAGAGAGTAGACAGACAAGAAATATTGCGAAGACAAAAGAAAATAAAAGTGAGCTCAGTCTCCTTTTATGTTGGATATCAATAACTACTTATCACACATAGGGAAGCCCAGAAGATGTAAAATTGCTTAACAGAGTGCCTGGCACATGGTAAGGTATCAGCAAATGCCAGCTGTTTTTACTTATGTAAAGAAAAATAAAATCTGGAAAACAAAATATTAAGTTGCTAGGAATATAGTAGGGGCCAGATTATGAGGGGTCTCTGTATAAGATGTTTAAATTTTATCTAAAGGCAACATGTAAGTTTCAGAGAACTTTAAGCGAAGGAATACATGGTATGAGTTACATTTTAAGGCAACTTTTCTTGTAGCAATATGAAGACCAAACCGAAGTGGAATTTTGAAAAGTCAGAACAATAGAAGACAGCAGATTGGAGAGGTATTGGGGAGGTAAAATCAGCAGGCGTTGTTAAGCATTTCAAAGAAAAGAAGAAAAAAGGCTCAGTGAGAGAAAATGCAGCATGAGTACTTCAGGCTTAAAAGAGAATTTCTGGGAGGCTGAGACAGGAGAATCGCTTGAATCCGGGAGGTGGAGGTTGCAGTGAATCGAGATTGCACCACTGCACTCCAGTCTGGACGACAGAGTGAGACTCCATCTCCAGAACAAAAAGAGAAAGAGAATTTCCTACAAATATATAAATGGTTTACCAAGAAAGCTCATGCAATCTTCTTTCCTGAAGTTCTTTAAAAATAAGATGAAGCCATCTTTCTTTGGTACCTGAAGGCTTGAGCTTGATCCAAAATTGATCCACTCTTTTGATGCTATGATTTCAACAAAAAAATCAAAAAGCAGATATAACAGTGTATAGAAATAATGTGTAGTATTTGTAAAGTTTTAATGATATACACATTTTGTCTTTACATCTCCATATATTGTTTGTATTTACTTACAGAACTTTTCCCATTCACCTTTAAATATGCTATCATTCTCTGCCTGTGATTTCTTTCCAATCATGTTCTCATTATATCTCTTCACTTTACGACAATGACATTGCTACACAGTGACTTCATTACTGTAAAGAAACAATATGAGTTTACAGCTCAAAAAATATATAATTAAAAGCATAAATTATGGCTGCTGTCAACACAACAGACATTAACACTGAAACTTAGAACATAATGCAGAAATAGGTTAGGTTCATGCTACCTGAAGTCATTGTGAACCTTGAATGTTTTGTCTACAAATAACTCACCCAAAAGTTATTTCATCTTTTTAAACAATGAAACTGGGTGAATCACCCTACATTGCCTCTTTTTCAGGTCTTTTCTCCTCCTAATACATGCCACACTGATATTAAAAGATGTTATGAGAATTATTGAAGGCCACTGAAAGAGATTTTAGTATAAACTAGATTGCATAAAAAACCAAAGCAATTATAAATATATACACTAATAGAAATCTTTAACCTTGTAAAAAGACCAAGAAAACTTATCCAACATCTAAGAAATATGACGTTTTAACTTCCATCTGCTAGGTAAAATTACAACTATATCAACTTTTTAATTGGGTACAATTTTAGTCCTGGGAATCTCTAACAGACATGTTTTTGCCTGGAATGATGGGCCTCAGAGACGGAGATCCAGGAGAGAGTTGTGTACAAATAGAGGGTGCTTGGCCATTTTACTGGGGATATTGGAGTGGAAATCTATAATTAATTCAAGGGGCTAGAATAGATGAGCTCAAAGATTACCTACCACTAGAGGTTTCCAAATCTATAGAAAACACACACACATACACACCCTGAAAACGTCGACACTCCAAAATAACCTTCCTTCCCAAAACTTCAATGTTTTCTTGTGTGTGTATGTGTGTGTTTGTATCTATATCTACATATCTATATTTAGGTAAATACATGTATGGACATATATAGCCATATGACTTCTAGATTTTTGAGTACTTTAATTATACATCTATATGTATAAATAGATATATAGATATATAAAATAAAATTATGCACACTGACTGATCAATGTTTCAGAGCTTTTATCTACATACAATCCTATAGAAAAATAAAATTATACAAAGAAAATGTATCTAAGAGCATGCATTCCTAAATATATTAGCAAGACCAAGTCTCCTCTGCTCTCTGAGAACTGCAATAGGACAATCACTCTGGTGTGGTTCCAATATAAGAAAACACTAGGCTATATATTATATATTTTCAGAAACATTTTCCATTGTTTTCTTTTTATTTGTATATAGTAATCTACTACATATTTCCTAATTATTGACGATTTTTGCAGACAGAAAACTAAGAGGATCATGCCTATCAGATACAAAGAAATATTTTCCTAATGTCGGATAGCAGACTATTATTCCTATATTTCATTATTTCACTGCTAAAGGATCTGCATATGTGATAAACAAGCAGACTCTTTGAAGAGTGATTTGTCATGTTTACCAAAACGTGAGGTCTAATTTCTGTTAAAATATTTTTCAATATTTTTAATGAATTTTAATAAAGGTTTATCAGGCGCTTGTTATGGTGCAGAACTTTTATTAAATTCTGTGATCCATAAAACGTTTTTTTGAATGACACATAGTTTAGTTTTTCATTTAGAGGCTATAAAAGTGTTCACAAAAGTTATGTTGAAAAAAAGTGATTGAAAGTGCTAAAACACTGTACAGAATATAAAATCCTTTCATAGACTTTTTATGACACATGAAACATGAGTCTTAAAGGTTTAATGTTACTGACTTTTATACAAGGCTTTTTAATTCTTGATTCCAGTTATGGTTCTGCAAATGAACTGTGACATTAAAAGGAATCAGGCTGGAACTGCCTGGGCTCGCTTTCTAGATGAGCTCTGACTGGCCATGAGGGGTTTGCTCTAGGACCCACCGCCCACAACTGATTAACACCCACTTGCTTTTGTAGAACAGAGGAGTGAGCCTGCTTAACAGATTCCCTCCTACCTAAATTTAGTATTAATTTTGGGGAGGGCACGTAGATTGCTATTAGCAAATATGAAGTGTGAAGGATGACCATGCCTTGATCCTTGTTTCTTTAATTCTGTACACTATTTACTGCTATCATTGTAATGTTGTCTTGATGAAATACAGAACCAATATTGCTGTCTGTCCCATTAGAATAATGAATAGAAATTAAGTTTGGCTCTACCTTTGGGAGTTTCAAGTCAAGGTACTGACTGGTCCAGTACAGAAGACAAATTTACCATGTTCTGTTCATTTAAAGCATTGTATTTAACCAAATGAAGTTGCCATTTTCTAGTTAAAACAATTAAAACCTTCAATTTCTTATGACTCACCTTAATTTTCCAAGACTGATTGAAAAATTACTGTTTCAAAAGCCACAGTGGTGGTTTGTGTTAAGAGAAGAATAGAACAATATGGATGAATCAAATCACTATAAGAAGTTGATTTTGATCATTTAGATTAGACTTCAGAGTAATATGCTTGGCTTAAATTATCTGGAGTAGGACTCAACATAACCCATCATTTTGTACATATAGACACCATCCTTGTTGGTTAATTTCCTAAAGGAATCACAGAAACCCCCAGGTTCTATCTGTTGATATTGTACTGTAAAGGTCACTTAGGCAAGAGCTTGAATATATAGAAAAGAATGAAAAAAGTATGGTGTTGAATAAGTCCATACCATAGAAACTCTAGACAGCAATAGTAGTTCCACAGTTCACCAAAACAAGATTGCAATGATAGAAATAAACAGTGTCGAACATGAAAGAAACAAGGATCAAGGCATGGTAATCCTTCACACTTCATATTTGCTAATAGTAATCTATGTGCCCTCCCCAACATCAGACATCAATGGTCTACACTAAAAGACTGAAATAAAATATCTGTGCCATATCCATTATTCATAATTCATCTGTTTGTTTTGATTTTAAAATCCCTTTCTTATTTCAGAATTATTTTAATATGAAAAGGACTAGACATTGGATTTCTCAAAATGAGTCATAACTTAATATCCTGAATGTAACCAAAAGAATGACCAAATATAATAAAAATGTCTACTTCTTTGTAATCTGTGATGTTTCTAATATGAAGCATGTGATTCTAATTTAGCAACATTTATAAAATAATTTCTTTCTTTCTATATCTTAGCAATAGATATTTAAAACCAAAGGCTCACAAATTTTACAATACTTTTAGTGTACTTCAAAAATTATTGAAAGACATATTTTTGATACATTACTATATAGTGCATTAAAGACCTATTTTTTCATTAACTTACATGATTTTATGTATTATCCATTTGTAGCCTAGTTTATTATATGTACTGTGTCTGTAAGATATTAAAACCGCATTTCAGCTAGAATATTCTGCATTAAGACTATACATTAAGACAGATTTGCTGTTCTCTCATTTATTCTAAATTAATAAACGTTTACTAAATTGCCAGATGATTTCTATACTGTACGATCTCTGAATATTCCTTTCTGTCTATTGCCCTAGAGATGCGCAATATAAAATTCAAAATACTTAGTCCACTAAAGCCAAGAGCTAACAAGCAAAAATCCTTCCTGACACTCAAGAAACCATGAGAAAGCTGTCCAGAGGGAGAGAAGCTTCTGAGGTACATGGATAGAACTTTAAGCAAGCCAAAGGGGGCAGGGAGGAGACATTACAAGTTTCAGACATATTAAAGACATTTTTAGAGCCATCAAACATTGCTAATTTAGAAATGAAAAAGAATAAGCTAAATAAATTAAAAAGCTAACTTTTTGAAAAACAATTTCCAAACAGATGATATTTTCTCAAAATCATATCTTAATGATTCAGTAGCTATTATATATATATTTCTTCTTTTAGGATATTTTTATATGGCTACTGCTTGCTGCCACTGGATTTTAAAATTATGAGTAGGGTGGCTCCAAGAGACCTGTGATAATTTCAACTGGAGGCAGCAGGAGCAGATATGTGATCCTATGTGGCCATTCCCCATCAGCAGTTTTTAGAAGCCACAGTTGGTATGGTAGAGCCAACCAATGGAAGAACTCTGGTTCCTTGGGGAAGAGCTGCTCAGAAGAGTAACCTGACCTGCTTTGCAATTTGCATGAGGAAGAAATAAACCCTGTTATATTAAATCACTAGTAGTTCAGGATTTGTTTCTGCTACAAAGCCTAGTTTATCTTGACAATACTCTCTTACAAGCTAGATAACACCATCTTCAATTTCTCCCTTATTCACTCACTACATCACATCAGTCCACACATTTATTTAGCTTCTCTAACTACTGAGCTAAGTTCAACTATTGCTATTATAAACCTGGATAACATAGCAAGACCCCATTGCTACAAATAATTAAAAATTAGCCAGGCATGGAGGTACATGCCTGTAGTCCTAGCTAGTTGGGAGGCTGAGGTGGGAGGATCACCTGAGCTAAGGAGTTTAAGCCTGCAGTGAGCTATGATCTTGCCACTGACCTCCAAGAGAAAGACCCTGTCTCAAAAAATATGCTTTATTTTTAATTTTTAAGAAATTTTCTTTATTTCTAAGTTGCTATTATAATACTAAGATCTGTTATAATAGCCTCCTAATTGGTTTCTCTGCTTGCAGACATCTCTTGCCCTCCATTACCCTCCATATCAATCCCTTTAAGTGTCACCTAGGTTACCCTTCTAAAGTTCAAAACTAATTGAGCCATTCACCTGCTTAAAAACATTCCAGAGTTTACCTTTCTACCTCATTTCCTACAATATTGCCATTTGTGCTTACCATGGAAAACTCCTCATCTTCCATGAACACCCCAAACTTTTCACACTTCTTTGCTTACTGTCTACTCCCTCTAACCTGATGGCCCACCTCGCTCTCCCTTTCTCAGCTTGGCAGCCTCCCATGATAAAGCACTTGCTGGCACAAATCGGTGGAATGAATCACACCTTGTGCGTGTGCTCTGCAAATTGCTCTGCTATAACAATAGTAATAACTAATATTTATTGAAGACTTACTTTTTATCAGGCACTTAAACACTTTCTACATAGATTGTTCCATTTAATTCTCACAAAAAGTCTATGAGGTGGCTGTTACTATTATGCCCATTTTACAAATGAGGAAACTAAGGATTGGGTTGAGTAGCCAACCCATGTTTTTACACAGCTGGTAGGTGATAGAACCGGCATAAGAACTTATCTCAGTTGGACACATGAATATCAGATTTATGCACGTAACCACTATGCTTCTTGGTCTCCATTCAAGACCTAAATGTCTTGGCCCAGTACACTGCCTCTAATCTCTTTTCCTACCTTTCCTCCCGTATACTCAGCAACTTAGCTGTATTAGGCAGACATGTGCTTAGCATGTTATTTCCTCATCCCCTTTTCTTAATTCCCCATGTTGAATGAATGCCTCCCTCACTGCTTCCTACACACATCTGTTGTAGCCTGGACTACCCTGTGCCCTAACCACTGGTGCAATTTTCTCTTTTGCTCTGAAACCAAAGAGCTACTTGAGGCCTGACATTATGCTTAGTCTCTAACCCCAGCACCTGCCTGTCTGGCTTGCACCAAGCTCTCAATAAGTGTGTCTGAGTGAGTGAATGAGTGAATGAATGAATGATGTAGATTTTAATATTCACATTTTATCATTATTAAAAACTTGGTCTTCCAAGTTGTTAACTTTTTATTTTTGAATAAAGGACTTTTTTGTCCCTTTTAAACAACTTCCTGATGAAAGATTCCATTTGTGAGTTATATTACAATTCCATTTTATATTGTATTTCTTGATTCATTATTTATTTCACTCATATATGAATGAGCAGATACATATTACAGATAATTAAAGCCCTATAGTGAGAATTAAACTGAAATTTTCTCCTAAACTTTTTATTAGAAAAACTTAAATTTCAAAACTTAAATCTTAAAATGTAACATTTTCAATTTTATCATTTCTCTTGTAGTTTCCCGAAGGATCTAATAGTCACCTGAGAAAACAATAATAATCATGGTCTAAAAGTATTGAGCTTATTTTATGTGACAATCTCCGTTTTCATGTTTTACATTAAGTAGTTCATATATTCCCCATAGCAACTCTACAAGATTGATATTATTATTATCTCCATTTTACAGATGAAGAAACTGAGAAACTTTGAGATTAAGTAACTAATTTAATGTCACACAGCTAGTGAAAACAGAATGTGAAGGCTATTTTCAAACTCAAAGTCATCTTATATGAGTATTTCAAGGGAAGATGAAGTTTTTCATGTTAATACCTATACTTCCAAACTAGTAAGAATGATAAAATGTAAGTAGCCCATATTTAAGCTATGAGAAAATTATAGGGGAGATAGATAAAAGATTCTCACATATTGCATTTGATCCTGATTGCATATCCTATGATGTCTTGGTGTAGTATACTCCATGAACTCCCTTCTCCTACAGTACACATATAAGAAGATAGATTTGTAAAGAGATTTCTTTCTTGTTCCGGCCTCAATATTCACATTACTGAAGCTTTTGACTATTTGGCTGAGTTGATAGAGCTCGTATATAGAGGTTCAGGAGGACTAAAACCTTACGATTAATTTTATTATTTTGTGGATCACTTAAAATTATGGTGACTTGCTGATCGTGCATTGTATACAAATACTGCCTCTGATCCTGTCTTTGAAGATCTTATGATCTAGCATGAAAAATAAATAACTGGAATGCAAGACACTAAAAGGTATTATGGTACAAATAGAATTTGAGTTAGCACTTCAAGTAGAAGAAAAATTTCAACAAGTGATCATAAGGAATATAAATCTGGCCAAGGGCAATAAGGTGGAAGCTAGACACTTGGGGCACAGCCAGAGAACAGATGGGCTGGCAAATGGAGTATGTGAAGGGAAAGATTGGAAAGCAAAAAGGGAAGATCTTTGAAACCCATTATACAGGGCCTTGAATAAGAAGCTAAGAAGTTAATGGAACTCTTTAGGAATTGGAAAGTTGACGGAGGTTTCAGAAAGATATTTTCTGGCAAAACTATCTAATAGAAGAGAAAAGAGAGAAGCCAGAGACTAGAAATTATGAGGCTATTGCAATACATCAAATTGTTCGATAATAAGGACTTAAAGGAGATGGGGAGAATAATCAAATTTACAAGATGGTGTAAAAATAGAAGCTATAGGCCTTGTAACAAATCGTGTGTGAGAGAGAACACTCAAAGTTTCAAGTCTTGTTGATCTTGGGACTATTGAGGGCTTTATTCAGAATAGAAAACACAACAGCAGAAAAAAGCTCCAAGTGAAGGATGACTTTCATATCCGGACGTGTTATATTCTGTGGGACTGTCCAGTGGAGATGCCTAAGTGGCAGGACCAGACTTCAGAAGAGAGTCTGTGCTGAAAATATATGTTTCTAGGAAGTGACTTGAACCCACAAGATTCTAACAGATGCCCAATAAGGAAAAGGCGGCTGATAGAATGCAAACGTTAAGGAAGTGACGAAGAAGCCTCCAGAAAAAGAGCAGGCAGCAGGGAGAAGACTAAAATGAAAGGAACAGAGTCACAGAAAACAAGGAAGTAGAAAGTTTACATAAGAGCAACCAGGGCACCGTGGCTAACACCTGTAATCCTAGCACTTTGGGAGGCTGAGTTGGGCAGAGCACTTGAGTCCAGGAGTTTGAGAAAGTTTACATAAGAGAGTTAAATTTTGCAAAAACACCTGGGGAGAATTATAAGGAAGATGACAGTGAAATGAAGTGCTGATCAGATGGAACATGAGGACAACACATAATCTGGGCCTGCCCTGGGCAAACCAAGACATAGGGTCAGCCTTATTATAATTGAACAAGTAATTGGTGAATTTCAAGAAATTTTCAACTTGACAAAATCAACCTAAGTGCAATGTCTCATGGCAGCGCTGCGTGTCCAGACTCTCTTGCAGAGCTCTCCCATTTCACGTCCCTCAAAGAAGATGAAGATCTGGAAACCGAAAAATAAGATAAAGACTAAGAAATTGATATGAACTACTTTTTAAAAGAAAAAGAAAATAAGAAATATATCCCTTCAACAGGAATTTATTGAGTGGTTGTCCTACATAAGATGGTAGATGATACAAATTAGAATAAAAAGTGGTCTCTGCCCTTGGAGAACTCATTACCTATTTAGGGAAAGAATGTGCTTATAGTTAGAAATATAAGAGTCCTTTAAATAAGATTCAGAAACCTAAAATCAATATAGAAAATGAATTAAAGAAAAAAGAGAGTTTTTATTTTATTTTTTTTTTTTTTGAGACAGAGTTTCGCTCTTGTTGCCCAGGCTAGAGTGCAATGGCATGATCTCAGCTCACCACAACCTCCGCCTCCCGGGTTCAAGCAATTCTCCTGCCTCAGCCTCTGGAGTAGCTGGGATTACAGGCATGCGCCACCATGCCTGGCTAATTTTGTATTTTTAGTAGAGACAGGGTTTCTCTATGTTGGTCAGGCTGGTCTCGAACTCCCAACCTCAGGTGATCTGTCCACCTGGGCCTCCCAAAGCCACCGCACCCGGCTTAAAAATTATTTAAGAATTTCAAAATCATCCAAGCAGAATTAAAGAACATATTTCAGAGAAAAATGAGCAGGCCCCCCAGGGCATGGTGGCTCACGCCTGTAATTCCAGCACTTTGGGAGGCCGAGGCAGGCAGATCAGGAGGATGGGAGATCAAGACCATCCTGGCTAACACAGTGAAACCCCGTCTCTACTAAAAATTCAAAAACTTAGCCAGGCATGGAGGCACGCACCTGTAGTCCCAGCTACTCGGGAGGGTGAGCCAGGAGAATGGCTTGAACCTGGGAGGCAGAAGTTGCAGTGAGCCGAGATCACACCACCGCACTCCAGCCTGGGCGACAAAGCGAGACTCCGTCTCAAAAAAAAAAAAAAAAAAAAAAAAAAAAAAAAGTAACTTGAGCCGGATAGATAACATGCATAAAGGAATTTTAAAAGATAGATATGCCATATTATCTTGAGTTACCATGTTATCATATTGTCCTCATTAACAGCAAAAACAATAGCATGAGCACCTACCACTACTGTCACAAGGGCACTTGGTATGTGACATAATTAACTAACTGAACATTAAATGTCATAAAACCTAAAATATGATTTTGGAATGTTAGGATCTTTATATTTAAAGTACAATCCTCTGCAAATGATTTAGTCTATACGCTAGTTGTGACTGCTCATATTACACAATTGACTAGGTTTTAGAATGTGTCAATGAAGCTCGCATATCCACTGGAGGTAAAAAGTAATAATCCCTCAATTACTAGGGATCCCTAATGAAAAAAAAAATTGGTGGTATTGAAATGAATCAAGTCAGAAAAATGCTTCCAACTTTCTAGACTTATTTTGGCAAAGGGTGAACAAATAAATTAAGTGGTTAGTAAATACATCTGGGATGCAAAGCAGCAATGCAAATAACAATCCATTTTTTATAATTAAAGCTTAGCTAAACTATCATTTGGTCACATTGATAATTTTTTATAGAACTGTAAATACCAACAGGGAATTTGTAGAGAAAAATTGCCTTGCAGCATTTTTGAAAAAAATTAATGCATATTCAATATTGATCTTGAATTGTGCATGTTAAACTGTGCCTCTCAAGTAAAATATTCTTGAAGAAGTCAATAATATGCCATAATTTCCTATGACACTAATAAAATAATGAAAATGACAATTCATTTTTGTTTACTTGTCTATGACTTAATGGATGGATAAATTTTGTTAAAAGAGGAAGCACAAACTTGGTGCATAGTAGGCATATTTATAAAACAATTGTGATTGATTTTTTGGGTCACTTTCCTAAGACAGAACGTGAAATAATTAATCTCTTGGAATTCCTTCCTGAAAAGCGTTTTTATAGCCGTTGATATATGCGATGAATTTCAGAGGACCAAAGCCACATATATTAAGTAGTTTGTTTGTTCCCTAAGATATAATAGAGTAATGGTGTTGCAAATAAAGTCCAAGGAAGCTAAAAATATGCAAAGCAGTGCCATTGTAATGACTTTATATGTAACACTACTAATTCTATTAACTCAAAATTGCTGAAATTAGTAACACTAAAGCTGTTTTCTTGTACTCAAGGGATGCTTGTAAGGAAAAAAATAACTGAGCAGTGAGATAGCCAAGTGAAGTCTTAGATTAAAAAAAAAAATACAGAGCAAATATGAACTATTTTCCATCTAATCCAATTTTGCTGTTCATCCATTATGAGAATGCAATGAATCAAGGACTTAGGTTTACTCAATACGCCAACGAGATTTGCAGTAACTAGTTTGCACAAGAAAATACAAACAACGTATCTTAAGAAAATAATTCTGAACCTGATTCTCCCTGGTGCCTGTTATTTTCTAGTCATCATTCAAATTCTTAGAAAGGCATGTTAACCCTTTCAAGACACAGATAATCCACTTAGGCTATAGTAGAAACATTAAAGTAACAGTTAAGTTGCCTCTTAAACCCACAAACTTGCAGCCCAGGAGTTCCTTAGATGATGAGAATTCCTCTGAGGCACACATTTTCTGGAGAAAATACTGTTTGTCCACAGTGTGAGATTAACTATGATGTTTAGAGAGCTGGAATGTTAAGCAGAATAGTAACTTAGGTAAAAAAACTAATTTTAAAAAATTAGAGTTGGCTCATCTATGGAACAATAGGACTTAAAAGAAAAAGGAAGATCTAGCCCCTTCTTGATTTATTGGAGTCTTCCAAAAAAAGGGAAAATCCAAGTTAGTAAATCTTTTCCATCACCATGTTAAAAAAAAATTTTAACTCAAAATGGAGCATAGAACTAAAATGTAAAAACTAAAACTATAAAATATCCAAAAGAAAATTTAGGGGGAAAAATCTCTGTCACCCTAGCTTAAGGAAAGATTTTTTAGATATGACACAAAAAGCAGGATCTGTAAAAGAAAAATAAAAATGATAAATCAGACTTCATTAATATTAAAATCTTCTGCTCTTTGAAAGATGCTGTAAAGAGAAGGAAAAGACGGATCAACATTGATCTGGAGAAAATATTTGCAAAACATAATTTGATAAAGAAGAACTCATTTCTAGATATATAAAAACTCTTAAAAATGGAAAACAATGTAATTTTTAAATGGGCAAAAGATTTGAACAGACATCCACCAGAGAAGATACACTTACTGCAAATAAGCACATAAAAAGATGGTAATTATTATTAGTCTCTAGAGAACTCCAAACTAAAACCACAATGAGATACCACTAGATACCTATTAGAATGTCTAAAATTTTAAATACAGACCATACCAAGTGTCAACAAAAATGTGGAGTAACTGGAACTTTCATACACTGCCAACAGGAGTGGAAAATGGTACAACCACTTCAGATACAGTTTGGCAGTCTGTTAAAATGTTAAATAGACACCTGCCATATGATCTAGCCATTGTATCCTTCTATTTACCAAAGAGAAATTAAAACTTATGTCTATACAAAAACTTGCACATGAGTGTTCATAGTTTCATTTGTAATTGCAAATATGTCATTATTATCATTTCTATTTTACCATAGAGGAAACTTGAATTCATATGGATTAAGTAAAGTGCTCAGAATTCAAAACAACCCAAATGTCCCCCAACAGGGTAATATATTCATACAATACAAACGAGCCACAAAGGGATATACTGCTGATGCACAGAATGACATGGATAAATCTCAAAATGATTATGTTGTGTCAAAGAACCCAGATAAAAAAAGAGTACATGCTGTGTGTGATTCCATTTATATAAAACTCTAGAAAATGCAAGCTAATCTACAGTAACAGAAGGTAGATCAGCAGTTTCTGGGACAGGGCTGAAGACAGTAGGAGAGTTTGGGAGAAAAGGTATGAGGAGGAAGTACAAAAGGGGATAAGGTAATATTTGGGTGTGATTGACATGATCATCATCTTGATTGTGATGATGACTCCACAGGTCAAAACTTTTCCAGTAGTAAACTTTAAATATATGTAGTGTATTGTATACTAATTATATCTCAATAAAGACTTTTTTTTTTTTTTTTTTTTTTGACAGTCTTGCTCTGTCGCCCAGGCTGGACGTAGTGGCGCAATCTCGGCTCACTGCAAGCTCCGCCTCCTGGGTTCACGCCCTTCTCTTGCCTCAGCCTCCCGAGTAGCTGGGACTACAGGCACCCGCCACCTTGCCTGGCTAATTTTATTTTATTTTATTTTTATATTTTTAGTAGAGACAAGATTTCACCATGTTAGCCAGGATGGTCTCGATCTCCTGACCTCGTGATCCACCCGCCTCAGCCTCCCAAAGTGCTGGGATTACAGGCGTGAGCCACCGCACCCGGCCAATAAAGCCATTTTTTAATGAAGCTCTAATTCCTTTTTTGCTTTACTGGAATCTTTCAGACCAAGGAAAATACAAATAAGTAGAAAATATTTTCATCATAAACTACTGAGTTTAGTCTGTTTAATGGAGTCCGAATTCACAGCATCTTACTTTCAAACTTCTTGGTGCATGTGGCACCCCCATTACTGATCTCACATTCTCAAGTGAATTTTACAGTTCTTGTTTGTGCACCTAGGAATCTTAACTGGCTTTTAAAAGCTAATCTTTAAAGCTAATTTAAATGTTTGATATGCACTATTTCATTTAAGTCTCATGATAATGCCATGAGGTAGACATCATCATTATTATTTCTATTTTACAGTACAGGAAATTGGGGCTCATAAGTTAATTGCTTAAGGTCACATAGCCAGTAATTCCTAGAGCCAGGATTTGAATTCAAGCCATCAGAAACTAGACGGCATGTGCCTAAACACAATGCTATGTTGCTTCAATGTAGTACAAGACTGTGTGGTCATGTGATCATTGATTTGCCACTAGGAAGAAATAGAGAAAAGGAATATTAATTTCCTAGATCTGCCATAATAAAATAAGAAAAACTAGTTACCTTAAAACAATAGAAATTTATTTTCTCACAGTTCTGGAGGCTAGAAGTCTGAAACGAAGGTGTTAGCCCAGCACGCTCTGTTTCTGATGGGTCTAGGGAAGATCTTTCCTTGCCTCCTCTACTTTCTGGAGTTTGCTGGCAATCCTTAACATTCTTTGGCATGTAAACTCATTATTCCAGTCATATAGGCATCTTCTCCTTGTGCCTCTTCACATCATCTTCTCTCTATGCAATATCTCTTTCCGAGTCCAAATTTCCCCCTTTTTAAGGACCTTAGTCGTAGAGGATTAGGACCCACCCTAATAACCTCATTTTGATTACCTCTGCAAAGACCCTATTTCCGAATAAGGTCATATTCTGAGCTACTGAGTATTAGGACTTCAACATTTCTATCTGGGAGAACATACTTCAACCTATAACAAGAGGTAACAGGAAATAGAGCTAAAGGATGTGAGAAAACTGTAAGATTTGCTTTATAATGATGAATCAATTCCTGATCTTAAACATTGGTAGAACCTATTGTGGATCCATAAAACTGTAAGTATGAGTTTGCGATCAATCAGCTACCTGGAAATTTGTAGGAAAAGAATGCATCATAGGCGGCTTTCTTACTTAAAGCCCTAGTTTTCTGTACAATGTTCTGATTTTTACAAATTATAATATCACTAGTTGGGCATATAATGGCTTCACTCTTTTATTAATTCTGTAAATAGTAATTGAGCCCTCTATTATATGCCAGGAATAGTGCTGGCTACTGGGGATAGAGTTGAAACATCAGAGTCTAGCAGAAAGGCAGATAAGTTTATCAAGTGCAATAGTGTGAAAAAGGCCTTCATAGAGGTTTACATAGTATGCTATTGGGTCCAAAAGAAAACAAATTACTCTACTCGAAAAGGAGGTAATTAATGATCAAGGAAAACCTGCGACAATTTTTAAAAGACTCGGAGCAGCCTGGCAGGCAGCAAAAGTTGGAAGGGGCATTTCAGAATGCATAAAGTTAACATGGCCCAAACAACCCCTGTTGTTCCCCCAAACCCTCCCCACATCAGTCAATAGCAACTCCATCTTTCCAATTGCTCAGAACAGAAGACTTGGACTCATTTTTGCCTCCTCTCCTTTTCTCATACCTTTATCCAAACTGTCCAGAAAGACGGTTGTTTCTGCCTTCAAAATTTATCCACAATCTGACAACTTTTCACCACCACTGCTGTTCAAAGCTACCATCATCTCGCATGTGGAATTGAAGCCTTCCTAGCCTTGCTGCTTCTAGTTTTGCCACCCTCTATAGTCCTTTCTCAACATAGCATCCAGCATTATCACTTCAAAATGTAAGTCAGATCATGGTGGTCCTCTGCAATGACTCTCCATTTCACTGAAACTAAAAGCCGAAGCCTTTACAATGGTCTAGAAGACTTTCAAGATTAAGCCCTTCAACCTCCCTCTCTCCCTTCCCTGCCACCATTATCTCTTAGACTCCTTCATCCTACTCATTTCTATCCAGTCACACTGGTCTCCTTGCTATTCCTAAGACAGGACAAGCACATTCCCATACCAGGGTGTGTGCACTGGCTGTTTCTCTGCTGGAATATTTTTCTTCCAGATACCCACGTGGCTAATTCCCTCTCCTTCAAGTCTTACTCAAATGTCACCTACCCCAAATACCCTATATGAAATTGCATCTCACCTTTACCACCAAACTACCACCTCACATTCTCAATTCCTGCTTTAACCTCATCATAGTGCTTATTATCTTTTTTTTTTCTTAAGACTGAGTCTCACTCTGTCACCCAGGCTGGAGTGTAGTGGCGTGATCTCAGCTCACTGTAACTTCCAATCCTCAGGTTCAAGCGATTCTCCCACCTCAGCCTCCTAAGTAGCTGGGATTACAGGCGCATGCCACCACTCCCAGCTAATTTTTGTATGCCACCACTAATTTTGCATGCCACCACTCCCAGCTAATTTAGTAGAGACGGGGTTTCTCCATGTTGGCCAGGCTGCTCTCAAACTCCTGACCTCAGATGACCTGCCCACCTCGGCCTCCCAAAGTGCTGAAATTACAGGCATGAGCCACCGCACCCAGCCTCCTTCTAACATGCTGTAATTTACTTATCAATGATGCTCATTTCTAGTCAATCTTCCTTCAGCAGAATATAAGCCCCATAAGGGTAGAGGTCTTTGTTCTCTTCATAGATCTCTTCTAGATACAGAGGCTGTTACATAATATTCACCTTTTTCAAAATAAATGAAAAGCTCATTGAAGTCAGAAAAAAAGGAATTCCATTGACTGCAAATAATTGTTGTCGCCAGAGCATTAGGAGCATGCAGGATAAGTGCAGAAGGGAAAATTGGATTTGCAGAGGATCCTTCCGTGCTCTGTTAACAAGAACCATTGATTAGATTTATACAGAGAATGAACATGCTCATATTTGCATATTATATCACTCTGACAATCATGTAAATTAACCATCCCCCACTTTCAATGTTCACCAAAATCAAATTTCTAAAATGGTTTTTATGGTATCATAAACCTGACCCTTTCTGAGTGCAATAGAAGCGTAATTCTTCAGAGTACACACCCTGGAACAGACCGCCTGAGTTTAAATCCATTTCCACCAATAGCTATAGGACCTGCAGCAAATTACTCAGCTTCTTTTTGCCTCATCTGTAAATAAAATGGGCTGTTTTAAGGCTTAAAGAGTAAAACTCTTAGAACAGTAACCTGGACAGAGTAAGAACTGTATAATTATTTTTTAACATAGTATTACTGTTCAGTGGCTATAAGCAAGATTTTTGTTCTCTCAATAGTCTCTACAAGAAGTAATATTTAAGTTAATCAGGCCAGCAATCCTCTCATAGATAATATTTTTTAATACTAAAACCAAAACAGCGTGGTACTGGTACCAAAATGGAGATATAGACCAATGGAACAGAACAGAGCCCTCAGAAATAATGCCACATATCTACAACTATCTGATCTTTGACAAACCTGACAAAAACAAGAAATGGGGAAAGGATTCCCTATTTAATAAATGGTGCTGGGAAAACTGACTAGCCATATGTGGAAAGCTGAAACTGGATCCCTTCCTTACACCTTATACAAAAATCAATTCAAGATGGATTAAAGACTTAAATGTTAGACCTAAAACCATAAAAACCCTAGAAGAAAACCTAGGCAATACCATTCAGGACATAGGCATGGGCAAGGACTTCATGTCTAAAACACCAAAAGCAATGGCAACAAAAGCCAAAATTGACAAATGGGATCTAATTAAACTAAAGAGCTTCTGCACAGCAAAGGAAACTACCATACAGTGAACAGGCAACCTACAGAATGGGAGAAAATTTTTGCAAGCTACTCATCTGACAAAGGGCTAATATCCAGAATCTACAATGAACTCAAACAAATTTACAAGAAAAAAACAAACAACCCCATCAAAAAGTGGGCAAAGGACATGAACAGACACTTCTCAAAAGAAGCCATTTATGCAGCCAAAAACCACATGAGAAAATGCTCATCATCACTGGCCATCAGAGAAATGCAAATCAAAACCACAATGAGATACCATCTCACACCAGTTAGAATGGCAATCATTAAAAAGTCAGGAAACAACAGGTGCTGGAGAGGATGTGGAGAAATAGGAACACTTTTACACTGTTGGTGGGACTGTAAACTAGTTCAACCATTGTGGAAGTCAGTGTGGCGATTCCTCAGGGATCTAGAACTAGAAATACCATTTGACCCAGCCATCCCATTACTGGGTATATACCCAAAGGATTATAAATCATGCTGCGATAAAGACACATGCACACGTATGTTTATTGTGGCATTATTCACAATAGCAAAGACTTGGAACCAACCCAAATGTCCAACAACGATAGACTGGATTAAGAAAATGTGGCACATATACACCATGGAATACTATGCAGCCATAAAAAATGATGAGTTGATGTCCTTTGTAGGGACATGGATGAAACTGGAAACCATCATTCTCAGCAAACGATCGCAAGAACAAAAAAACCAAACACAGCATGTTCTCACTCATAGGTGGGAATTGAACAATGAGAACACATGGACACAGGAAGGGGAACAACACACTCCGGGGACTGTTGTGGGGTAGGGGGAGGGATAGCATTAGGAGATATACCTAATGCTAAATGACGAGTTAATGGGTGCAGCACACCAACATGGCACATGTATACATATGTAACAAACCTGCATGTTGTGCACATGTACCCTAAAACTTAAAGTATAATAATAATAAAATTTAAAAAAAATAATAAAAAAAGACAAAAATGTTGGCAGAGTTAAAGTTTAAAAAAAGAAAAAAAATTCATAGATCTTTTATAAAGGATTTTTTTGTAAAAATATAATTGCATCTTTCCTCCAATAGTTTTGAATTTTCTAAATTGAGTCAGCATTCTATGCTTAAGTATTTGTGGTATTTTCATATCTTTTAAATTAGCAAAACTTAAAGACACTATTATGGAAACTAACACTTCAAAGAGTAAGTATTCTGTTGTGTTTTGACTTTACTTTTGTCTCAGATTTCCACAAATTCCAATCTCGATTAGCAATATTCATTAAAGTACCCACTGCTTGTTTTATTATTTATAATTTAGTGTCTTTCCGTTCAAACAAAGAGGCAGATTGTCTTCTAGCTGAGACACCTGGAAGGTGGATGAAGTACAAAGGCCATGATTCAAAAGTCTGCAGTGCAGTCAACAAGCAATTACTTTTGCATGTGATAGGAGACTGTCAGCTTCAAACACAGGACATTCTTTGGGAAGATTAGTCCAAATTACATTTTATTACCTTGGCCCACTTGAATGGCCTAAACTTCATCTATTTCTTATTCTAATGGAATTCCAACTGGGGCATTAATATATTGTTTATGACATGTTTGGAGTTCTTGTGTTATCAGCATGCATTCATGAGAGAAGCTTCAAACAGTATCAGATAACAGTGAGCTGGATGTTGGATGTTGTACAGCACAGAGGATTTTATCATCTTGTTGAACCAGTGGCAGTGATTAAATTAAACTGTCTGAACAAAGCTTTTGCATGTCAGACTATTGAATGGCAAAATGAAAGAGTGACACACTTCAAAGATCAGAAGAAGGAAGAGAGGGCTAGAAAAACACAGTTATGTAACCCCTTATTGAGGAACATTCAGAAACAACATCAACAATTAAGAATTTTCCATTTTACTTCATCTTTAAATTTTTCAGTGTCATTTCATTCATCTTCCAAGTACATTTCCCCACCTTCTTTCTCACATTGCATATTTAATTTAATTTGGAACATTGGCTGAATAATGAGATAGTTTCAGGGTTTTCACTTGTTCTGTTTCTTTGTGGAAGGAGGGTTTTTAATTTGTTTTAGTTTCTAATTTTTCTCTAAATATTTCCAAATGAGATATTATCAGAAGAAAATATCAAGGAGATTATGATGTTTCCATAATTTACAAGCACAATTTTTATTTGGAGCTAAAAGTACACAGGTGATATTTCCCCCACTTCAAAAACAAAATTAATATTTTGAAATAAATTAATGGATGGAACCAAGATTATTTTTATAAACTGAAATATTGTGATGTGTAAACTCTCTGAAGAAGTTCATGAACAGAAAAGTTTTCATGTATCTGGGGTACAAAGTAACCTTATAAAAATCCACATGTTTTCCATCCACGAGATTTTTAAATCAACAAACAGTTCTGACATTTATTTATTATTGTCTTTGTTAGTTAAAAAAAATGGTTAGTATTAAGAAAAATGTCATTTCCTCTCAAACAAAATAAAACTGGGAAAAAATCCAGGAAAAGCAAATTAAGTTTCAGTGCTGTTTCCATTACAAAATCTACATAGCTTCATTTCTGAATTATTGGCTAGATTAGTGGTTTCCTCTTTATTTAAGTCTCTAAGTCAACCACTCAGAAATATTTAACTAACTTCAGTGTGCCATAGTACTTATAAAAGATAGGTTTTCAGATGCTATTACCCCTTGTAAATGTATCCACTTCTACTTTTACTTCAATTGTGATTTATACAATTCTCAGAACTGTAAAAGAATGTCCATTTTGAAATAAATGCTGGTTCTTAGTAATGTATCTTCACAATTTAGTTTATTCATTTATTTATTTATTTATGACAGAGTCTCCCTCTGTCGCCCAGGCTGGAGTGCAGTGGCACGATCTCAGCTCACTGCAACCTCCGCCTCCCAGGTTCAAGCGATTCTCCTACCTCAGCCTTGAGTAGCTCGGACTTCAGTAGTTGCGCCACCATGCCCAGCTAATTTATTTGTATTTTTAGTAGAGATGGGGTTTCACCATGTTAGCCAGGCTGGTCTTGAACTCCTGACATCAAATGATCCATCTGCCTCGGCCTCCTAAACTGCTGGGATTACAGGTGTGAGCCACCGCACCCAGCCAAAAACGCATAAGTACAATATTATTCAGCATAAAAAGGAATGAAGTTCTGACACATGCTACAATACAGGTGAACCTGGAAAAGCTTATGCTAAGTAAAATAAGCCAGACACAAAAAGATACACATTGTATGATTCCACTTATATGAAATATCTATTCCACTTATATGAAATATTCATAGAGCAAAAAAATAGATTAGAAGTTATCAAGGACTACACAGGAGGGGAGAATAGTTATCAGAGACTATTGATTGGAATAGGCAATAATGGGGAGTTATTGTTTAATGGCTACAGAATTTCTGTTTGAAAAGATGGAAACATCTGGAAATAATTAGTGATAATGACTGCACAAAGTTGTGAATGTAATTAATGCCAGGGAATTGTACACTTAAAAGTGATTCAAGTGGAATATTTTGTTGTATATATTTTATCACAATAAAAATTTAAAGTCGAGGCGCAGTGGCTCACGCCTGTAATCCCAGCAATTTAGGAGGCCAAGGCGGGCAGATCACCTGAAGTCAGGAGTTCGAGACCAACCTGACCAACATGGAGAAACCTCATCTCTACTAAAAATACAAAATTAGCCAGATGTGCTGGCACGCACCTGTAATCCCGGCTACTTGGGAGGCTGAGGCAAGAGAGTTGCTTGAACCTGGGAGGCAGAGGTTGTGGTGAGCCAAGGTCACGCCATTACACGCCAGCCTGAGAAAAAAAAAATTAAAAACAAGTGCAGTCCACAATTACTTATCCACAATTCTAAAATCTAAAAAGTTCTGAAATCACAGACTTGTTTTTTGGAACTCATTTGATGGCAGAATTGGACTTGGTCTGAATTCATTTGGCTGAAAAACATGACCTACGTTGAAGTGAGTCTATTTAGTGTCATTTTATTGTACTTGGTGCTAATATCCATTTGTTTTGCTCCATAAATATTAACACATTTGATCACAGGATGCTATCCTGGATCCCACTGGGATGTTTTATAATATATGGCATATATTCCTTTTTACCTTTCTACAATTTAAAATGTTCAGAATTCCAAAGCACAAAAGATTTTGAACATGTAGAAGTTTTGTGCTCTCCACTGGTTAAAATCACCATTTATCATGGCAAAAATATTTTTCCCCCAAACTGTAATACCATCCTGGAGGGATCATTTTCCCTAAAGGTTTTAAAAATTCAACTTGGCAAGGAAATGACAGTTACTAAATATTTCACTGACTGTCTCAGGAAAGTTATTAGAGATGATGGAGGAGAAGGTGCGTATGTTTCTATAGGGGTAGCAAGAGGAAGGTCCTTGTGGTGATGGAAGAGTTCTTTACCTTCCTTTTGGTGGTGGTTACAAGAACCTACACATGTGATAAAATGGCTATAAAACTATCTATAGATGAAATAGAACTACACACACACATAGTACCAATGTCAGTTTCCTGGTTTTGATATTGAACTATAGATATATAAGATGTAAACATTGGGGGAAACTGGATGAAGGATGCATAGGAACACTCTTGTCTTAGTCCATTTGGGCTTCTATAACAAAATATCATAAACTGGGAGGCTTATAAACAAAAGTTATTTATTTCTCACCATTCTGGAGGCTGGCAAATCCAAAATCAAGGCACAGTAGATGTGGCATCTAGTGAGGGTCTGCTTTCTGGTCTGTAGATGGTACCTTTACTGCGTTTTCATGTGGCAGAAGGGGTGAACAAGCTTTCTGGGGACTCTTTTTTTTTTTTTTTGAGACGGAGTCTCGCTCTGTCGCCTAGGCTGGAGTGCAATGGTGCAATCTCGGCTCACAGCAACGTCCGCCTCCCAGGTTCAAGCAATTCTCCTGCCTCAGCCTCCTGAGTAGCTGGGATTGCAGGCACCCGCCACCATGCCCAGCTAATTTTTGTGTTTTTAGTAGAGACGGGGATTCACCATGTTGGTCAGGGTAGTCTCGAACCCCTGACCTCATGATCCACCTGCCTCGGCCTCCCAAAGTGCTGGGATTACAGGTGTGAGCCACCGCGCCCAGCCTCTGGGGACTCTTTTAAAAGGGCATTAATCCTATTCATGAAGGCTCTGCCCCCACGACCTAATCACCTCCCAAAGGCCCCACCCCCTAATGCCATCATCTTGGGGGTTAAGATTTCAACATATGAATTCGGAGAACACAAACTTTCAGACTATAGCAACTCTGTACTATCTTTGCAACTTCTTGTGAATCTGTAATTTTTTCACAATAAAAGGTAAGAAAAAAAAATTCCACAAGGCAAGGAAATGACAGCTCACTTTTTAATGAGTCTAAATGCTTTGCTTACTGTCTCAAAATGCTTTGCTTACTGTCTTCATTTTCTCAGCTCCTCCAGGCATCCTGAGGGGAAGATGTAAAGAATCAGAGCCAGAGGATAAATGGTGACTCTGTGGGTCCCGGAAACCCTTCAAGATCTTTGAAAATAAGGACTGCTATATCATTCACTATGTGTATCCCCATTCCTATGCTACAGGTAACCTATAGGCTAGCCCTTTGGACAATTTCAGTATTAAGGTCTTAAAGGTCTCAACTCTGCAGTACAGGGACTTCCTGTAACAAAATTAATTATGCTGAGACAACTTGTTGTCTGTGATTTACCCTTGGCTCTACCCTCCATATTTCCCTTAAGTCTAAACCATGTGAAGACTTCCATCCAAGAAATTAGGTATTTTTAATATTTGCATAGCTACCAAACTGAAATACCACTTTCCTATGAAAAGGTATGCTTTATTTTTTTAATCACATTAGTTATACCAAAACCTTCTGTACCATCTACTTAGTAATATTTACTTTCTTTATTAAATTTCTCTAATTACTCTTCTTTCAAAAAGCTAATAATCCCTTAAAAATTCTAAATTATATAATTGTATGAGAACTTTTAAAATAATTTAATATTAAAAATAAGAAGGAAAATCTAACACAGCATAAAGAATGAGGAAGGAGTGGCACAATGAAAAAGAATGAAACTCTCAAAGAACTCTAAGAGGATTTTGCAATATAAAAGATTAGCAAATTCATCTAAAGACTTCCCAGTCTCCACATGAGAGTGCCTATAAGATACTACAGCCAAAAGAATCACCCCAAACACAACTAGAAAACAAATTCACAGATAGTAGTATCATTGGCAGTGAATTAAATAAGTAATACAGTGCAGTTCATTTTTTAATTCTTTAAACTCTAAATTTTTTTGTTTATATTTTCTTTGGGAAAAAAAATCAGTGAAGGACTAATTATCAGTTTCCATAAGAAAAAGAACAAAGTCCAATGATGTGCAAACTAGAACCAAAAATTGCAAACCATATTATTACCACAATATTTAATGCACCATTATTTGCAATGTAGAAAAATTATAATCAACCTAAATGTCCATCAAAGTGGATAGAATATTGTTTAGCAGTTTAGAAATAAAAAGTTCCACATACACTTATTAACATGGAGAGATGTCCATGGCTTGTTACAGGACTAAACACAATTTGTTCAATAATATGTATCATATAATCCTATTCTTGCAAGAAAAAATAGGATTTTATGATATGTGTGTATTTGTACACATATACATATAATTATGGCATATGAGTAGAAAAAAGGGCAGAATGACAAGCACCCTGTTGTTAACATTGATTACCTCTGTGCATTGAAATTGGAGAGTACATTAGTTATTGATTGCTGTAAAAAAATTATCCCAAAACACTGTAGCTAAAAACAACAAACATTTATTATCTCACAGTTTCTGTGGATCAGAAACCAGGGAGCAGCTTAGCTGGGTAGTTCTAGACAGAGTTGCTCACAGAATGCATACAAGGTGTTGCCTGGGTCACTTCAAAGCTCCCTCTCCCAGGGGAGACCCCACTGTTGGTCAGCTTCAGAAGATCTGCTTTCAAGCTCATTCCCCAGGGCTACCTCAGTTCTCCACGTGGCCCCTCATCTCCCAGGATCTCTCTTCTCCATGTGGACTCTTCAGAGCATAGTGAGAGCCAGGTGTGGTGGCTCACGTCTGTAATCCCAACACTTTGGGATGCCAAGGCGGGCAGGTAACTTGAGGCCAGGAGTTCGAGACCAGCCTGGGAAACATGACAAAACCCCGTCTCTACTGAAAACACAAAAATTAGCCCTTCATGTGTAGTCCCAGCTACTCAGGAGGCTGAGGCAGGAGAATCCACTTTAACATCCCCCACCAAAGTGATACATTTGCTATAACTGATGAACCTATATTGACACAACGTCATCACCCCAAATCCATAGTTTATATTATACTTCACCCTTGGGGCTGTACATTTTATGGATTTGGACAAATGTACCACATGTATCCAGCAGTACAGTATCATACAGAATAGTTTCAGTGTCCTAAAAATCCCCTTCCCTTCTTTCTAATTTCTTTGTTTTTTTGTTTTGTTTTGAGGTAGATTCTCACTCTGTCACCCAGGATGGAGTGCAGTGGCGTGATCGCAAGCTCACTGCAACCTCTGCCTCCCAAGTTCAAGCGATTCTCCTGCCTCAGCCTCCCTAATAGCTGGAACCACAGGTGCACACCACCACGCCTGGCTAATTTTTGTATTTTTAGTAGACACGGGTTTTCATCATGTTGGGCAGGCTGGTCTCAAACTCGTGACCTCTGGTGATCTGCCTGCCTCAGCCTCCCAAAGTGCTGGGATTACAGGCGTGAGCCACTGCATCCAGCCCCTTCTTCCTAATTTCCAACAGTCACTGATCTTTTCTACTGGCTCCATAGTTTTGCCTTTTCCAGAATGCCATATAGTTGGAATCCTAAGTATGTAGACTTTTCAGATCAGAGCCAGACTTTTACTTTTACTTATAATAGGCATTTAAGTTTCCTCCATCTTTCATGGCTTGATAGCTCATTCCTTTTCAGCACTGAACAACATTCCACTATTTGTCCATTCACCTCCTGAAGGTCATCTCAGTTGTTTCCAAGTTTTGGGAATTATGAATAAAGCTGCTATAAACATCTGTGTGTAGTTTTTTTGTGTATACATACATTTTCAATGTTGTAGGGTAAATAAAAAGGAGGAAGATTGCTGGATTGTATATATGGTATACATATGTTTAGTTTTGTAAGAAACTTCCTTCCAAAGTGTCTGTAACACTTTGCATTTATATGGCCAACTAGCCTTATATATTTATACAGGATTTTTAAAAAATTCAACACCAGTTGAAAGGAATCTGATGCAAATATTTTGTGTAATTCGCAAATAGTTCAATTGATAATATTTTTAGTTAGCAGTTTTCATTACTCCAGGGCAAATTGAGATGAATGAACATCTACTAAGTAATGAGTGATGTATATGCATAAATCAATTCAGGAGAGACTTTTTAATCATTTTAACTATTGCAAGAAATTTATGTCATTATTAGCGATCATTATTAGGGATATAACAACACACAAACAGAAGTTTTCATCTTTCTGGGAACTTAGAAACATTTAATATCCAATCCTCCCTGTGTCTACTAGAGTTTACTCTTTATACTTGGTGTTTTCATCAATATAATATTTTGTCACAGTACTATTCTTTAGTCAGCAATGGCTTTCCTGGAGGGGCAGTTCAAAGTGGTGCTTAAAAGCATAGACTCTGGAGCCAGATTGCTTGAGTTTAAATCCCAGCCTGGTCATTTCCCTTAGGCAAGTTACTTAACCTGCCTATGTCAGTTTTCTCATTCATAAACATGGGGGAATTATAGTAATAATATATACTCTTGTAAGATTTTTTAAAGGACTAAATGATTTAATATACCCAAAACTCTTACAATAATACCTTGCTATAGTTGTAACTCAATAGTTGTCAGACATTATAATTATAATTATTACTTATATCTAACTTACAAGAAGGGTTAACATAAGCAGATTTAATATGAAAACACTTTGTTACAAATTAGAAGCATGTCCCCTGGTATGGTTTACTCTGTGTCCTCACCCAAATCTCATCTCGAATTGTAATCTCCACATGTCAAGGGAGGGTCCTGGTGGGAGGTGATTGGATCATGGGGGCAGTTGCATGATAGTGAGGGAGTTCTCACGAGATCTGATGGTTTAAAAGTGGCAGTTTCCCCTACGCTCTCTCTCTCTCCTGCTGCTGTGTAAGAAGTGCCTCGCTTCCTCTTTGCTTTCTGCCATGATTGTAAGTTTCCTGAGGCCTTTCCAGTCATGCAAAACTGTGAGTCAATTAAACCTCTTTTGACAACAGATGTCTTGAAACAGTGTTATGAATCGAAGTAAAAGGAGGGAGAGTCCAACCAGCTTTTAGGTTTGGCACTCCGCCTCTTTTGATTACAAGTTGATGTGCCCTGGACATTGTACCTATTGTCTTCTCCATTTTTCTCCAACATTTTGAGGAAGGACGTTTCACAGACTGAAAGGAAATACAATGCAGTTTAGAGATGAAAAGGCATATGGGCCTTTACACATGTTGTTTCCTCTGTTTGGACTCTTTTCTTTTTTTAACCAAACCTCTATGTATATGGCAAACTTGATTTTCAGGTCTTATTTAAAATTCACGGACTCCAGAAAACAACTTTCCAGATCCCTCCAAAATAGATATGTGTTCCCTTCCCTTAGGCAGTTACACACTTAGTCCATTTTGTGTTGCTATAAAGAATGCCTGAGGTGGGGTAATTTATTTAAAAAAAAAAAAGAGGCTTATTTGACTCATGGTTCTGCAGACTATACAAGAAGCATGGTGCTGGCATGTGCTTCTGATGAGGGCTTCAGCTGCTTTCACTCACAGAAGACGGTGAAGGGGAGGCAGCATGTACAGAGATCACATTACGAGAAAGGAAGTGAGAGAGATGAGGAGATGCCAAGCTCTTTTTAACAACCAGTTCTCACAGGAACTAATAGAGTGAGAACTTAACTCATTGCTATGAGGATGGCACAAAGACATTCATGAAAGATCTGCCTCCATGTCTCCATCACCTCCCAACAGGCCCCACCTCCAATATTGGAGATCAAATTTCAACATGAGGTTTCGGGGGACAGACATCCAAACTATAGCACACACTGAATTGGAATAGCTTATTTTTAGTCTTTACTAGTTTGTGAGCTCCTCCAGAATAAAAGTTTCTACTCCTCTTTGTATCTGCACTGACATCTTTCATGCCTTGCACACTGGAGGTACTCAATAAATACTGGTCAAATGAATGAATGAACAAAAGCAAGGACTTTGAGGAGGCAAAAAGATGATTCTTCAGTCCTTTCTTGTTCTCTTTGTTTTGCTTTGACTTGGAACTGAGCACACCCTGGTCCTTTGTCCCTTAGAAATAGAGCTAATGTTAAGTCCAGAGAAAAAGATGGTACGAAGCTGGCTGCAAAGAGCCCTTCTGGTCCAGGCAACCTGGAAGAGAGTTCTCAGCAGAACCCAACCATGCTGGCACCCTGATCTCAGACTTCCAGCCTCTAGAGCTGTGAGAAATACATTTCTGTTGTGTATAAGTCACCAAGTCTGTGGTATTCTGTTGTAGCATCCCAAACAGACTAAGACAGCAGGCGAACAGATATAGATCAAATAGAGGAATGAAAACCCCAAACATGCACACTCAATTAAAGTTCACTTTTACAGAGAGAAGATCTGTCCTCTACAGCCACAGTGGATAAGGGCAAATTAGGAATAAGAAAGAAGCAATCTTAAGAGCAGAAAGAAAGTTGGGCTGTCCACTGGGTAAGTTCTCTTCCTGCCTGCCAAGCAGGCCATCTGTGAGACCAGTCTGAAAATACACAGGCGAAATGGTAGAGAAGCTGTCCATCCCTTGTTATCATTGTTATTGCTGTTAAAAATTCAGCATTTTTATGGAAGGAGTTGGTTTCCGAATTAGAGATAAGCAAATACCACTATATTCCATTTATGGAAATCAGAGCTGAGTAGTTAAATGCACTGAAAGAGACCATTTTCTAGCTCAATAGATCTAAGGAATTCTTAGCTTTTAAACTCGGTTTTATCAGATGGAAGGAAGTAATATTGGAGAATAGAGGAGATTAAATGTCAGGACTAAGGCCATATCTACATACAGCAATCAAGTTAGCCAAAGTGGAGTGAACTCAATATGCTTTGTTGTTTCCATGATGAAGCTGTGCAGTCATCAACCATGTCAACTGTTCATTGATCCAACTTAGTCTCTTAGAAACAATCCAGTCAGCTCTGTAGTAATCCAGTGACTTTGGTTATAATCCTAAATTTGTTGTCTTTTGTCTTCCTTTAAAACTTCATAAGGAAACACAATTCAGTTAAAATGACCAAATCTCTTGAAGACTGAAAACTAACTTCAAATACAGGATTTCTGCAAACTACAGATGCTTTCCAGAAATGACTGCTTACTTAAACATACTCATTAAGGTTCACATTTTTGTTTTAATTACTGAACTTTTCTTATGTTATGTATTTTTCTTTGAGTATATAGTTTCATCATGTTTGTCAAATTGCCTCATAAGCAAAATGGGTTTTGGCAACATTTGCCTACCTTTTTATATAGCATGATGAACATACAGTTCTCACACATAGCATAACAGTAGAAACAAATGTCCAACAACTAATAACATGTCCATAGTTATGAATTGACCACATAAATAAACAGACTGTCCATTTTCCTGTTCCCATTTTATGAATGTATGATTCAATTTTACTTCCTTTGATGTCAACCCTTAATTTCTCCTCTAGTCTTCTCTAGTCCACATCATCTTGCTTTTCCCATTTTCTCACTTGCCTACATGCATGCAAAAGAAATTCATAGTAAGAGCCAGCATTTATGCACTTTATGCTACAGGAACTGTTACTTTCTTTATAGACCATATCTTTTTTCCCAGTAGCGCTAAAGAGAGCTACTATTATTATCATATCTATATAAGACATGAGGACACTAGGGCTGACTAAGGTTTAGCTATTTATTCAAGTTCACACAGGCAGGGTGTTTAGATTATTGTTCAGCAAAACTCTCTTCCCTTCCCACCGTTGCATAGTAGACATCTCTGCATTATTGATGTTGTACTTGACCATAGGATTTGCTTGGGTCCATCCAATATTAGCAGACATGATGTGAGCAGAGGCCTTAAATATGCATCATGAATTTGGCTTGTCTCTTTCATTCTGGTGATCTGTCATGAGAGGAGTATGTTTCATGTGAACGCTCCTTCTTCATTGTAAGCCACATAATGAAATATAGACAGCAGAACTCCTTCCCTAGGAAGTCAATGGTCCCAGGAGTATCAAGACTCATGGTATAAACCTGAGTTAAACCTGTAGCCTAGAAACCAGAGCCTAGCTGAGCCAAGTCGCCACTGACTTGCAGTCCCATGAGCAAGGGAATCAGTGTCAGTTGTTTGATGTCACTAAAATTAGGGTCATTTTGTTGCTAGGAACTGAATGTTTGTCTACCCATGAAATTCATATGTTCATATGTGAAAGTCTTAATCTCCAATGTGATGGTATTTGGATGTGGGGGCTTTTGGAGATGACTCGGTGATGACGGGGCAGCCCTCATGAATGGGATTTATGCATTTATAACAACACAAGTAAAGCGATCTCTCTCTCTCCACCATGTGATGATATAGCAAGAAGGCCGCTATCTGCAAACCAGGAAGAGAGCCCTCACCAGGAACCACATTGGTCCACACCTTGATCTTGGACTTCCCAGCCTTCAGGACCATGAGAAATAAATCTCTGTTGCTTAAGCTGCAGTCTATGGTATTTTGTTATAACAGCCCAAACTGACTAAAACACTAGTGGTGCAGCATTATTGAGGAGATATTAGATAGTAAGTTGTAGAGCAGGGATGCAAACCTATATCTATCAGATGCCAAAATGGAAGCACTCACATCTTACTTGATACTGCCTATGTGTGAATTGATAGAATAAGGGATTGAACACAAGATGTATAGCTTCAAAGTCTGAGGATTATAGGTTAAGTGATTTTTAATAGTAAAAAGGAACATAACCCAAGACAATGAATAGGGAAGATCAGGGCCTTAAAAGCATCTGGGGAAAGGAGATAATATCTATGACAAAGGGCCTCCCATGTTCAGACTTCACACCCACACCCCTTCTTCCACACTGCTGACCCAACCTGCACCTGTGGATACCACAGAGAGGACAGAACCAATATATATTGGTTCTGGCCCAAGGAAAGCACACTGCTCTAGAAAAATCCTGGAGTTACTATTTTGCATATTTTTTTCATCTTTCACTTTAAAGGATTAAAGAATACTTCTGCACATATTTCCACTGGTTGCAAGGATCCAGAAAACCACTTATGAGTCAGTATTTTACAAATGTTCAAATGTAAGTGGATTCTTTTTGATAGCAGCATCACTTTCTGATGGGATAGGAACCCAGAAATTCACAATAGTGGTTTTCATTAAAGAGCATTCTTGGCACTTTTTATGGCAAAAATTATTAGCACTTGTCTTTTGGCAAAATTCCAAGCTAAGAAATGATATCATACCTGTTTATGCTCCTCCCATGATTTCAATGTCATTCTTCTTGCTTTCTTCCTTGAAACAATGTGACATTACTATGAATGCCTAATTCACTTCCAAAGTCAGTGAGCCATGGTTTCTCTTTTCTTAATACCAAGGCTTTTAGAGTTTTAATTAACTAATCATTATAAAGCAATCGTATGAAAGGAAATACAGTATTTATAACATTGATATCAACTGATTTTATAATACTTAAAGTCAGTAAGATCAGTAAAAGAGGCAAATTAGGAAACCTCCTAGTTCTACTGCAATTCCATCACTTATGATATTTTAAATAGTTTTTGCCAGCATTGAGGCTTCTCTAAACAAGACTTACTGCTTAATCTAGATTTCAGGTTCACTTGATTAAAGATAGAAACACTTTAGAGCAAGAATGAGTGAGCCTAGATTTTATTTTACTTTGGGTTGCTAAATTTATTAATATCACGCATGAACCTGGAATTTATTATAATGCCTGAAATCATGCCTTCCCAGAGGTTGAAAGTGCTCCCTAACTCATATTAGTCATCGTGTGTGTGTGTGTGTGTGTGTGTGTGTGTGTGTGTCCGCCTGCATGTGTAGACAGTGAGACAGAGACAGAGATAGAGAAGCAGAGAGAGAGAAGAACAGAGATTTTAAGAAATTAGCTCAAGAAATTGTGGAGGCTGGGAAGCCAGAAGTCCTCAAATCAGGCTGGCTGGCTGCAGATTCTAGTAGGAGTTGAAGTCTTCAGTCTGAAAGCAGTCTAGAGGTTATGGAGGCTGAGAAGTTCTATGATCTGCCATCTGCAAGCTGGAGACCCAGGAAAGCCAGTGGTATAATTCAGTCTGAGTCCCAAGGCTTGAGAACCAGGGTAGTTGATGGTAGAAATCCCAGTCTGAGAGCAGGAGAAGTTGAAATGAGATGTCCTATCTCAAGTGTTTAGGCAGAAAAAAGGGGGCAGATTCGTTGATCTTCCATCTTTTGTTTTTTTCAGGCCCTCAATAGAGTGGATGATGACACCCGCATTGAGGAGGACAATCTACCTTACCCAGTCCGCCAATTCAAATGTCAACCTTATTTGGAAACACTTTCATAGAAACACCCAGAAATAATATTCAATCTGGGCACCCCATGGCCCAGTTAAGTTGGTACCTAAAATTAACTATCACACATGGCAAAATGAATTTTGGAGATATGATTGAGTTAAATTTTTTGAAATGGGGAGATTTTCCTGCATTATTTGGATAAGCCCAATGTAATCACAATTCATTGTAAAAAGGGTGCAGGAGGATACAGAATCAGGAAAGAACGGTGACAGTGGAAGTGGAAATTGGAGTGATATCCTTTAAAGACAGAAGAAGAAGCCACAAGCCAAGAAATACAGGTGGTCTCTAGAAGCTGTAAAAGGCAGGGAAACAAGTCTCTCCTAGACCTTCTAGAAAAGCTGCAGCTCTGTTAGCACCTTGATTTTAGCCCAGTTTGATCCATGTTTGCAAAAGCAGTGTATTAATAATAGAAAAGGTAGATATTTCTAGCAAAATTTTAGTACAACCTCTACATCATTTTTATTGGGATTTAAAAACATATACCATTATTTTAAATAAGCACTACACGTCTGCAATTACCAGCTAGTATCTTTGTGAGTGATTTCAGTTATGATAGCCATTAATCATGTATCCAAAAAACTTCAGGCTCTTGCCCTCTCATCATGTGATGCCCTCTGACACGTTATGATGCAACATGAAGTTCCTCACCAGATGCTGGTGCCATGGTATTGGACTTCCAGAATTGTGAGCTAAATTATGAGCTCTTTTCTTTAAAAAACAAAAATCAAAAAACTTCAGAATCATTTCTTCAAATTATTTAATTACAAATGGGTAGGTCAAATTTCAAAAATAATATTACATGTCTATTTGCATTGAGAGCCTATCTTAGTCTATTTGTGCTGCTATAAAGAAATACCTGAGGCTGCATAATTTATAAAGAAAAGAGGTTTATTTGGCTCACTGTTCTGCAGGCTATACAAGAAGCACAGCAATGGCATCTGCTCAGCCTCTGGTGAGGGCTTCAGGCTGCAACCACTCACAGCAGAAGGGAGCCAGTGTTTGCAGAGATCATGTAGAGAGAGAGAGGTGGGAGGTAACAGGCTCTTATTAACAACCAGTTCTTGAGTGAACTAATAGAGTAAGAACTCAATTTTTACCATAAGGACTGCACCAGCCATTTATGAGAAATCTGCCCCCATGATTGAAACACCTCCCAATAGGTCCCCACCTCCAACATTGGGATCAAATTTCAACATGAGGTTTGGCAGGGTCAAACAAACCAAACTGTAGCAGAGCCTAACTCTATTAGTCCATTCTCACTCTTCTATGAAGAAATAACCGAGACTGGGTAATTTTAAGGGAAAGAGGTTTAGTTGACTTACAGTTCCTCATGCCTGGGGAGTCCTCAGGAAACTTATAATTATGGCAGAGGCACCTCTTCACAGGGCAGCAGTAGAGAGAATGGGTGCTGAGTGAAGGAGGAAGCCCTTTATAAAAACATCAGATCTTGTGAGAACTCACTCACTAGAATGAGAACAGTATGGGGAAAACCAGCCCTATGATTCAATTATCTCCACCTGGTCCTGCCCTTGACATGTGGGAATTATTACAATTCAAGGTAAAATTTGGGTGGGGACACAGAGCCAAACCGTATAACTAACACACCACAAAACCATTGCTAAGAATACTGGTTGATATAGTTTGTATATTTGTCCCTGCCCAAATCTCATGTTGAATTGTAATCCCCAGTATTGTAGGTGGGGTCTTCTGGGAGTGATTGAACCATGGCTGTGGATTTCTCATGAATGGTTTAGTACCATCTCCTTGGTGCTGTCCTCATGATAGTGAGTTCTTGAGAGATCTTGTTGTTTAAAAGTGTGTGGCACTTCCTTCCAACTCTCTTGCTCCTGCTCTGGCCATGTGATGTGCCTGCCTCCCTTTTACCTTCTTCTATAATTGTAAGCTTCCTGAGGCCTCTGCAGAAGCTGAGGAACTTATTGGGAACTAGAACAAAGGTCACCCTTGTTATGCCTTAGCAAAGAACCTGGCTGTGTTGTGTTCATGCCCTAGGGATCTGTGGAAGTTTGAACTAAAGAGTGATGATTTATAGCATCTGGCAGAAGAAATTCCCAAGCAGCAAAATATTTAACATGAGGCCCGGCTCCTTCTAATAACCTACACTCAGATGTGGGAGCAAAGAAATGACTTAAAGTTGGAATTTATAGTTAAACAGAAAGCAGAGCATAAAAGCTTAGAAAATTTGCAGCCTGGTCACATGGCAGATAAAGAAAAAGCTTTCTGGGGAGAGGAATTCAAGCTGGCTGTGAAGCAAGTACTTGCTACAGAAATCTGCATAACTAAAAGAGAGCCAACTGCTAATAGCCAAGAGAATGGGGAAAATGTCTGGAAGGCATTTTGGAGATTTAAGTGGCAGCCCCTCCCATCACAGGCCCTGAGGTCTAGGAGGAAAGAATGGTTTTGTGGGCCAGACCCAGGGCCTCACTGCCCTGCGCAGCCTTGGGAAATTGCTCCCTGCATCCTGACCCCTTGGCTCGATTTGTGGCTCAAAGTTCCCGGATACAGCTCAGGCTGCTGCTTCAGAGGGTGTGAGCTCTTCGCCTTGACGGCTTCCATGTGATGTTAAGTCTGTAGGCATACAGTGCAAGACTGAATGAGGCTTGGCAGCCTCCATGTACATTTCAGAAGATGTATGAAAAAGGCTAGGTGCCCAAGCAGAAGCCTGCTGCAGGGGCACAGCCCTCATAGAGAACCTCCACTAGGGCACTGTGGAGGGGAAATGGAGACCCCACACAGAATGTTATCTTGTTTTATATTATTCTTGTACATGTCCTGTCTTAGACCTTAGATGATACCTTTCTTTTTTTTCCTTTTCTTTTTATTTTCTTTTTTTTTTTTTTTTGGAAACAGTGTCTTCCTCTGTCACCCAGGCTGGAGTGCAGTGGGGTTATCTCAGCTCACTGCAGCCTCCACCTCCTGGGTTCAAGCAATTCTCATGCCTCAGCCTCCCAAGTAGCTGGGGTTATAGGCACGTGCCACCACAGTTGGCTAATTTTTGTATTTTTAGTAAAGACAGGGTTTCACCATGTTGGCCAGGCTGGTCTCGAATTCCTGGCCTCAAGTGATCCGCCTGCCTCAGCCTCCCAAAGTGCTAAGATTACAGGCATGAGCCACTGCATCTGGCCTAAATTTCTTGATGGTAATAATGTTCTTATTTACAGATGTAGTGAACGTATTAATGAACACCTACTGTGAGCCATTATTATTTTTATTCATATTAACATCACACAACAAAATCACACAACTAGTCATCCTGGTGGAGCCAGGGCTATTATCTAGGCAGTTCGACTCCAGAAACCTGGCTCCAAACCACTACCTTATGCTGCCCTCTCATGTGTGGGCGCTCAACAAGTACTTGTTGAATAAGTGAAATTTAACCCAGGCAAGCTGGGTTAGTATTTCTGAGCTAAACACAGTTTCTCAGAAGACCACACAAGTGTTTAAGAGGTCACGAGAAATGACTGGCTAACCATAAAAAAAACAAAAACAAAAACAAAAAAACACGACAGAACCCCAAACTGAGACTCCAAGTTAGAAGGCTTGTCTAGCGCACCAGTTTTCATGCACCTGGTTGGCTAAGAGGGAAATCTTAGATGATGAATGGAGGGGAACACACAAAAAAAAGTGGGATCCAAAGCAATGGGCAGTTTTCCACATCATTATAGCCGTATTTTGTAACAATTTCTTTGGCAACTGACAGCAGGCATTTAAATCAGCTATTTCCTCCTCAGAATTCCTCTCCAAAGAATAATAATGGCCTCTGCAGCTCTGAAGGAAATGTAGCCCCTACTCGGATACAATCTTATCTGGGAAATTGCCGTGGTATTCGTCACAGCTGTCACTGCTCTGAGCCCATTAAAGATGTGCTGAGTGTAGATCCACAGGGTCCTGTGCTCGGAGGAGCCCTGCTACACATTCTTCCCAGGTTTCAGCAGAAAGACAAAAACCACTCGGTGTGCTGGGGGCAGAGTCTCCTCAGAGCTGGGTCAGCACGAGAGAGCCATTCGTACAGTCCTAAAGAAGTTACTCTATGGCTCGGGTTATAGATATAGAAAGACACTTGCAGTGACACCATTGAGATGGGCAGAACACAAGAAAGAATTTATGCAAAAAGCCCAGATTTTTATTTCTTTATTTGGAGAGCAAAAGGAGAGCTGAAGACCTAAAACATTGGGGTGAGGGCGTCGGCCTTGAGACTTTGCACCAGAGTTCTTCTCAGTTTGTTTTAGTTGAATAGTGAGCTGCTTCAACCTCTATTCTTTACAGTAAAAAGCTGAAAGTCTAATCCTTGATGATATGTCATTTAAGAAACTGGAGCACAGACTGACTGGGGTCCCACATTTAGCATCCAGTAGGACCTGAGGTGCCAGAAGTAAGACCAATAGGACTTTCTAAAATTTGGTTCTGCAAGGAAATAATGCTTCTGCAAATCCAATGTAATGTTTCTTCATACAAAGTACCCCAGATCAGATTCTCTTTCATTCTAACATTTATATTTGTTTTTAACCCACAGTTGCCTTTACAAAGAAACAGGCATGAAAAATAGCCTTCCACTCAATATGCCAAGGAAGATAATTTACTCAGAAATTACATTGTCCTGGAAACTAATTTACTGCACAGCTTAAATGTGAGCAGCTTATTCCCAGAAAGTTATTGACTCACCTTGACTCAAAATAAGATCAAGTATCTTTGCCATCCACAGCACAGAGTTTTCTAAGCCAGAGACCCCAGGACTGTGTATAACTTACTCTCTAAGATAGCAAGCCACTTGGAAGTCACTACGGATGTGCTTTACATCCACCCTTCTCAGAACACAAGACCCTCCCTAGATCCCTGAGGATTGTGGGCATTCCTAGCACACTCCAGAGTTTTACTTTTTTGTTTTGTTGGTGAGGAGGCAGTTATGCAAAGGTGGGAGAGAAGTGAGCTCGGGTAACACCACCACCATGATAACTGTCATGAAATTTCATCAATTCTTTCACTGCTTTCTGTTTGCTCACCCCTCCCCGACTCTCTCTGTTGTACTTTCATTGTAAGAGAAGAAGCCATGTCTCTGTTCCCACCACCATTCCTGACCTGGAGCGAACATTCAACAAACGTTTGTGGACTGAATGAATGATGGGACTTTACTCCATTTCATCACTTCCCATTTTCCATTCTCTATTTTTCCTCCTTTTTTGCTGATGGTTCACTCTTTATTTTTTTGGAAAGCCAGTTCTAAGATAAACAGTAGCAAAAGCAATAGCTGAAATAAAGACAAAAGACTTAGTTTCTTTGAACTGTTTTTATTTTACAATTTGATATTACATTATTAAATTATGTTACTGTTTCCTAACACATTTTCCTTTGTGTAACTCACTTATCACCATTTGGCTCCTTGTAGGTGCATAAAATAATTTTCTCTTTGATTGTAATGAACTAGAGTAAGGGTACAACTGTCTATGCAGCTCTACTCAAGTGCCTAGTAAAGTAGTGTAATCACAAATGTCTCTGAAGAATGACTGTAGATAAATGACAATGGCACACAAATACAATGGAAAAAAGCACATTAGAATTACTGGCATGCTAAGAAAAGCTATATACTGTATTTAACTTTTGTGCTATATTTACCTAGTCCTCACAGCTTTTATCTTTTTTTTTTAAGAGAACATTTTGAGTTTACAGCCGTGATTTTATCACTTTTTAAACTTATATTATTATCCCTACCTGCACTATATCATAATTAAGTATACTTCATTTGTACCCCCAATTAAATCCATGTGTAACATAAAAAATTACTCTGTATTAATTTTAAGTATATTGAATGCTGCCTTTTATGTAAAGGTCTGCATTAAAAGAGAGTATAGTAGTATTCTAAAGCCAATGAAACTCCATCATTTATATCTTAATTGAGATGTTTGGACATAGATGTACTTATATAAACACAAACTAATTTAAAGTTTTCTTTTTAATTTTAAGCTTAATATGATTAAATTAGTTATGGAATAATCAGTTGTACTATAATCATATTGTACTGTTCAAACTGAATGAAATATACCTCCCTTTATTTAAAAAAGTCTGCAGAATTGATTAAATAGATGACAATGTAATTTCCATTACAAGTGCTTTTTCTGCCATCTAGTGGAAAAATGAAATCCATGAGGATTCATAATTTATATGTTTTAATTCTATTGTCTTTTAAACTATTTAGGAAAGGCTTATTGGAAATCTCAAGAAAAGAAAACAAAACGTTGCATTCCCTCCCTATTTCTGATTTGGTCTGCAGGTAGACCAGCTGTGGATCACCTTAAGCATTCCTCATGTTGCCAAAGAAACTAAATACAGAAAAAGGTAGAGGGAACTCTCTTAATTAATTAGTTGGGGGGAGGTGAGTTGTTTATTTTTAAAGACTATCCATTTGCCCAAGCTTTTTCAAGGGCTGCCTTACTGTCTGGTTTTTGCTTGTGGAAGTATTTTTCTTAACCATTTAAATACCAGCTCAAAGGCAATTCCCTTGCAAAAAACTTGCTTGGTTCCTGGTGGAATGAACTCCCATGGCTTGCTAACTATAACTCCAGTTCCTGTTCAATGATTACACCATCCTGCCAAGTTCTATGTTGTAATTCGGTGAGTCTGTCTCACTTGATTGTGAACATCTTGAGGACAGGGAACATGTGCTGTTCATCTGTCTAGTCTGTGGTACTATTCCAGACAATGAATATATGAACACACTTGCTGCATGTATCATTTTAAATATGTAGAACTGGAGCCTACTAAAAGCCATTTCTAATATAGGGCAGCCAGGTCTTACATGGGCTATTCTGGGGTATATACATAGATTTCAGAGCTGGGATTTGACTAAACTTCCTAGCTCGGATTATTGATTCATTTTATCAACCCTTTTTTTTCCCCAGCATGTACTAGGTAAAATATGCTGCTGACAATTCCAAGAAGTGGAAAAGCTAGCTGCCATCCTTATGTATGAAGGCCCTGTTGGGTGCCTTTCTCTCTGTGTTCCTGGAATGATCTGTACTTTCTTCTATCATAGTGCTTATTCCTGTACTGCATGTATTGTCTCCATGAACTCCTTGAGGATGAGAAGACTGTCTTATCCATTTGTATTTTCAGCAACTAATATACTGTCTGCATATAGCAGAGGCTGAGTAAATATTTGTTGAATAAAGAATCATGAAAGATACAAAGAATTGCAAAGGATAAAAAAGAAGTATTAGATAGTGTGTTGTCTTAAAGGAGCTTAGGCATCATTTAGGGAAATAATTACTTATATATTCTGACCAGAATGTTCTATAGTTAATAGATATTAAATATATTTTTGTTAAATTAATGAAATGAGAGTCAACTTCTATTTCCAGGAAAAATGCTAAACACTTATGCTCTATCCTCTGGAAGAGCATAATCAAGTGTGAAGCAATAAAAATGTTCACCAATACTTACATTATTAAGCACGTTGTGTTTCCTGCCAAAGTATTAGACATCCCACCATAAACTGGTGTAGTTAGAAATGGCTTCCCAAAGAAGGAAGATCTTTGTCAAGAACAAAGATCTGAAAAGTGTGGAAAAGTCTGAGATTTTACCCGAGTTGTAAGCTGAAAGGTTAGATTGCCACATTTTCATAGATGCTGGCAAAGAAGGAGAGATTCCTGGGTCAGAAACAAAAGACTTTATTACTCACAGCACAGCAAGCACCATGAGCTTCATGTTTGCATTTTTTTCTCCTTGTCCTCCAAGTCCCATAGGGGTGATAAAAAGCAGCCTCCAAGATGTTGCACACGCTGTGAGTTTGTATCAGAGCAGAGGAACCCCATGCCAAGGAAACCCCAATTCTCTAAAGGGGGCTTTTAGCAAACCTGTCCAATCTTTGTCCTGGAGGGAGCCATTATACTCATTATCCTGGTCAGAAAACAAATCTGCCCGATGCCCTGGTGAAAGACACTATCTCTGTGTTTCAAGGTTGTTTGCTACACAAACATCCTTGAAAAGACAGCCCAGGACAAAAGCTATCAACATCTTCTCAGAAGATGGATAGAAATACAAGAGCTCCATGGAGAACTTTCTCTTGACAGTTTTAATTTGGTTCTCGAAGGCTGAGTTTGATTTGGTCAAGTAAGAGGAAAAGAACAGATGTTCCAAGAGGAAGATTTTTTTTTTCTTTTTTTTGAGAAGGAGTTTCACTCTGTTGCCTAGTTTGGAGTCTAGTGGCGCACTCTCAGCTCACTGCAACCTCTGTCTCCTGGGTTCAAGCTATTCTTCTGCCTCAGCCTACAGGCATGCACCACCACACCCAGGTAATTTTTTTGTATTTTTAGTATAGACGGAGTTTCACCATGTTGGCCAGGCTGGTCTCGAACTTTTGACCTCAAATGATCCATCTGCCTCAGCCTCCCAAAGTGCTAGGATTACAGGTGTGAGCCTCTGCACCCAGCTGGAAGAATTTTATGTGCGCATATTTATTTCACGACAGATCTCTTTGGACCTCAATTTCTTCATCTGTAGAACTAGAATATTAATACCTACTTTATAAGGCTGCTATGAAAACTATATGAGGTAATGTGTGTAACGTCCATATGGCATCCAGCCCCATGTCTGGCATGTAGCAGGTTTAGTTCTTTTCCATTTTTCCCTGAACATATGGAATGTGGCTCTGCAGACTTCCCTGATATTAATAAAAAGGGGGAAATGAGAGACATTTAACTAGACCTTTCACAAATGTTTTAACTGAGCATCTACTATGTGCCAAGCACCAGGCTAGACACCATGACTGTCCTCTTGAAGCTTATAGTATGCTTCATGGGAGAAATAGAGGAGAGTAGATTTGTCTTGCTTCTATCACATAAACTTGTAGAGGGCACGCCTCCAAAGTTTTATGGCAATCCATGTGATAGAAAGCTAGGGAATTATGAAGACATAGGCAGAGCATTAACCTAAAATAATAACAGTCAACAATATGCTCTCCCAGATCACACTGAGAAAAAGGATACTAGTAATTGCAGCAGGAAATGTTCATGTGAGCATTATTGCTACCAATATATGATTTTTTAGCCATCCATTTGATAAATATTTATTATTACGACATGTTGTACTTTGTTGTAGTGAATACTCAATATGTCTTTTTTAAGGATGTTGTGCATAGTGATAGGTGCTGGAATTCCCTTGAGGGTGAGCTGGCTCCAGGGATAAGGACTTGATTTTGCAAAAGTTGGTGTCAATGTTCATCTTTATATGGATGAAGAGAGGTGTGAGAATCTGGGAGATACTGTGAATAAGATGTGAGATTTCAAGATGATTAGAATATTGATTTATGGGATGATCCTAAATTAGACCGTGAATAAGGAAAGTTGTTACAATTTTTTATTTGTGAAGAAGGTACACAATTATTTGTTTTATTATAGACTATGTTTACGCTTCAAATATTTTATGGAAATAAAATAGCAATTTGTTTTGTTTTGGAGACAGGTTCTTGCTCTGTTGCCCAGGCTGGAGTGCAGTGGCATGATCATAGCTCACTGCACCCTCCAACTCCTAGGCTCAAGCAATCCTTATGCTTCAGTCTCTCAAGTAGCTGGGACTACAGACACACACCACTGTGCCCAGCTAATTTTTTTGAACTTTTTGTAGAGATGGATTCTCACTTTGTTGTGCAGGCTGGTTTGAACTGGCTTAAAGCAATCCTCCCATCTTGGCCTCCCAAGTGTTGGGATTACAGGCGTGAGCCACCCCATTCAGCCTGTAATTTTTCTGAGAGAAAATAGTTATAAAGATTATACCTGCTTTGAGGGTGAGACTTGATCACATGACTGCTGTGTTAAATTAGATGCATTAGAATAGTATATGAAAAGCCAATTCTAGTTGGGTTTTCTGGAAGAACTATGGTAATAGCACCCTTTTCCTACCTTGTTTCCAGCATAGTGCAGACTGAATTCATTATTTGTCTAGAATCTACCTACTGGGCTAGATTGTGAAAAATGCACAGGCTGCCTGACAGCTGAGTGATGGAGGCTAACCAGGAGGGGAAGTGAATAACCTTTGAAATGGGAAGCTGAAGACAAGCTGCAAGCAAAACCAAAGAGAGGAGTGCTTCCTCTATAGTTCCTATTATTCAGGGATCATGAGATGGGCTTTAGTCAATGCTAAGATCTGGCATCTTGTTCGGTGGCTTAAAGGAGTGATAGGACCAGCAAACAATTCAAAGGACCTCACCCCCCACCCCACTACCATTGCTCTCACCGCCTCCCCTACCGCCCTGTGCTGTCTAGTGGGCTGCATTCCTTCAAGTTAAATGATACCTCTGGGACTTGCATCTCTCCAGAGTGATGGGGGCTAACCAGAAGGGGAAGTAACGTCTCAGTATGTCTGATCTGCATTTATGAGAAACAAAGCTTGGCACATAGTGCTGAAAGTGGGAGAAGACCTGAGAAATCCCAAGTGAGAAAGCATCTTCTGGCTGAGCATGGTGGCTCATGCCTGTAATCCCAGCACTTGGGAGGCCAAGGCAGGCGGATCACCTGTGGTCAGGAGTTCAAGACCACACTGGCCAACATGCTAAAACTCCATCTCTACTAAAAATACAAAAATTAGCCAGGTGTGGTGGCTCACACCTGTAATCCCAGCTACTTGGGAGGCTAAGCCAGGAGAATCACTTGAACCCAGGAGGCAGAGTTTGCAGTGAGCCAAGATCGTGCCATTGCACTCCAGCCTGGGCGACAGAGTGAGACACTGTCTCAAAAAAAAAAAGAAAAGAGAAAACATCGCGTGAACCTGGGAGGCAGAGGTTGCAGTGAGCCAAGATTGCGCCACTGCACTCTAGCCTGGGCGACAGAGCAAGACTCCTCTCAAAAAAAAAAAAAAGCTTTTTCTCTCTCCCACGTTAGTTCCCCTAGGGGTTCCCTAGTTAACCACATTTACTGCTAAATCTTAACATAGATTCTCAAACCTTTCCAAAACTGATGAAAGTGACAATGCAGGGATCATCATAATTTATCACAATTATTTGTATCTAAGTCATGCTAATGTCTGGTACATTGAAAGGTCAGGTTAATACCAGTTTTTCCTAAAATCCTAGGGCTCCCAGGGTCTTGCATTTTAACATGAGTGGTATTTTTGTGAAATTAAAACACTTTTGTCTTTGTTCCATGCAAAACGCCTCCCTCCCTCCCTCTCGCTCATTGTCTCTGAACTTGGCCTTGATTGACAAAATCCATTTCTATTAGGTAAAGCTGGTGAAAGCAGGAATGGTGTTTATCCAGGGCTTAAATTAAATCTTACAGAGCTTTTTCTCTGACTGCCCCTAGCTCCCTACAGTTTTCCGTCAGTAGACTTCCAAGGAAGCTTTCATTTAGCCAGCTGTTTGCTCCTATTTTACATGATGGTTCTCGGTGTTCAGCAGGAACAAAGATCACGGATATTCCCATTTGGGTTTATCAGAAGCAACTGAGAACAACGAGCTCTTTTTATGTTGAAAATAGAGATTTAAAATTTATTCATAATCTTTACTTCTTCTCCCAACACATTCTCATCCCCATGGGCTCCTTTCTCTAATTAGCTATGCAAGTCTTGACACTAAAATTTAGCTACATGTTAATCTTTCATTTTTATTAGTATGGTGTCTTTATCTTCCTTCCTATATAAGCACAGTATATGCTTATATTTAAATACATTATATGTTTCCAAAAATGAGTACATTAAAATGACAACTTATAAAAACATTCAGTCTAATTCTATTGGTGAGAAAAAAAAATACATCTTAAATATGTCACTTCACAACCACTGAGCCACTCCTGAAATGAAGTTACTAGGTAGGTCTAATTTATACAAAAGAAAATGGAGTTGAACATTTATGAAGCTCCTACTATGTGCCAAGTGGAATGCTATGGATTTTATATCCATCATCGCCATTTAATCCTCACAGTGCTGTGAGCTGTTGTGTTGTTATTGTCAGACTTGGAGAGGGCACAACGAGTCCAAGCCTCCTGTCTGACACCAAAGCCTGAGCTGCCTACTAAATTATATTAGAGCCAACAGGAATCTTGGGGATTATCTAAGATAGTGGTTTTCCAAAGTATGGGATGAAATGAGGTGGTACACAGGGACATTGCATTTAAAATGCATTAAATACCACAGTGAAGAAGTTGATTTCAATACTGTTCTAATCCTTCTGGCGACATCTAGAGGAAATGCAGTTCCGTGTTCTGACACTTGCTCATCTGCTTTACTTTTTTATTTTTATTTTTATTTTTTTTGAGACGGAGTCTTGCTCTGTCACCCAGGCTGGAGTGCAGTGGTATGATCTCAGATCACTGCAACCTCCACTTCCCAGGTTCAAGTGATTCTCCTGCCTCAGCCTCCCGAGTAGCTAGGATTACAGCTGCGCACCACGATGCCTGGCTAATTTTTGTATTTTTAGTAGATGGGGTTTCACCATGTTGGTCAGGCTGGTCTCGAACTCCTGACCTCAGGTGATCCGCCCGCCTCAGCCTCCCAAAGTGATGGGATTACAGGCATGAACCACCGCGCCCGGTGCTCATCTGCTTTTCTACAGAAGGAAAAGTAGGTGTTAGAATCATAGTTTTAAAAGACAATACCTAGCAAAGATATAATTCCATATTTAATTTTAATTATTTTTATAGCTATGGGAAAATAATGCTGGTTTTTCCACTTAAGAAGTCATGGATATTTTAATTCTCAAAGTACATGCAAAATAAAGGTATTGCTGTTACAATAAAAAGGCGATTTGCTGGTAGGAGAGTAGGTAGATTCACCTCTAAAAAAACAGGTGAAATAGTTTTCCCACATATGTGAAAGTAAAATTATCTGAACGACCTCTTTAAAGGCTTTTGATATAATTCTCCAAGTGTACATCTGGCGATTTACTGCTTTAGGTAATCAGAGGTCATAGTGTGGACCGCTTCTGATATAACATGCATGCATGTTCACTCAGCTTCTGGGGAGCCATAAGATACCTCAATATTCTGGCCTTTCGGCCGGAACCGCCATCTTCCAATAATTCGCCAAAATGACAAACACAAAGGGAAAGAAGAGAGGCACCTGATATACGTTCTCCAGGCCTTTTAGAAAACATGGAGTTGTCCCTTTGGCCACGTATATGCGAAATCTACAAGAAAGGTGATATTGTAGACATCAAGGGAATGGTTACTCTTCAGGTGTTACCATGGCGAAACTGGAAGAGTCTACAACGTTATCCAGCAGGCTGCTGGCAGTGTTGTCAACAAGTTAAGGGCAAGATTCTTGCCAAGAGAACTAAGAACACATTAAGTACTCTAAGAGTTGAGACAGCTTCTTGAAACATGTGAAGGAAAATTATCAGAAAAAGAAGCCAAAGAGAAAGGTACCTGGGTGCAACTGAAGTGCCAGCCTGCTCCACCCAGAGAAGCACACTTTGTGAGAACCAATGGGAAGGAGTCTGAGCTGCTGGAGCCTATTCCCTATAAGTTCATGGCACAATAGGTGTTAAAATAAAAGACCTCTGGACTGCTAAAAAAAAAAAAATTCTGCCCTATTCTAATGGACAGTGTCACTTGTTAACAGATTTCCTGAGACTGCTATTTAGGGCTGTCACATGCACCATCTTTTTTTTTTTTTTTTTTTTTAATTAAAGTTCTAGGGTACATGTGCACAACATGCACGTTTGTTATATATGTATACATGTGCCATGTTGGTGTGCTGCACCCATTAACTCGTCATTTACATTAGGTATATCTCCTAATGCTTTACCCGACCCCCTCCCCCCACCCCAGGACAGGCCCCAGTGTGTGATGTTCCCCTTCCTGTGTCCAAGTGTTCTCATTGTTCAGTTCCCACCTATGAGTGAGAACATGCGGTGTTTGGTTTTCTGTCCTTGAGATAGTTTGCTGAGAATGATGGTTTCCAGCTTCATCCATGTACCTACAATGGACATGAACTCATCCTTTTTAATGGCTGCATAATATTCCATGGTGTGTATGTGCCACATTTTCTTAATCCGGTCTATCATTGATGGACATTTGGGTTGGTTCCAAGTCTTTGCTATTGTGAATAGTGCCGCAATAAACATATGTGTGCATGCATCTTTATAGTAGCATGATTTAAAATCCTTTGGGTATATACCCAGTAAAGATGACTGGGTCAAATGGGATTTCTAGTTCTAGATCCTTGAGGAATCACCACACTGTCTTCCACAATGGTTGAACTAGTTTACAGTCCCACCAACAGTGTAAAAGTGTTCCTATTTCTCCACATCCTCTCCAGCACCTGTTGTTTCCTGACTTTTTAATGATCGCCATTCTAACTGGTGTGAGATGGTATCTCATTGTGGTTTTGATTCGCATTTCTTTGATGGCCAGTGATGATGAGCATTTTTTCATGTGGCTGTTGGCTGCATAAATGTCTTCTTTTGAGAAGTGTCTGTTCATATCCTTTGCCCACTTTTTGATGGGGTTGTTTTTTCTTGTAAATTTGTTTGAGTTTTTTGTAGATTCTGGATATTAGCCCTTTGTCAGATGAGTAGATTGCAAAAATTTTCTCTCATTCTGTAGGTTGCCTGTTCACTGTATGGTAGTTTCTTTTACCGTGCAGAAGTTCTTTAGTTTAATTAGATCCCATTTGTCAATTTTGGCTTTTGCTGCCATTGCTTTTGGTGTTTTAGACATGAAGTCCTTGCCCATGCCTATGTCCTGAATGGTATTGCCTAGGTTTTCTTCTAGGGTTTTTATGGTTTTAGGTCTAACATTTAAGTCTTTAATCCATCTTGAATTAATTTTTCTATAAGGTGTAAGGAAGGGATCCAGTTTAGCTTTCTACATATGGCTAGCCAGTTTTCCCAGCACCATTTATTAAACAGGGAATCCTTTCCCCATTTCTTGTTTTTGTCAGGTTTGTCAAAGATCAGATGGTTGTAGATATGCAGCATTATTTCTGAGGGCTCTGTTCTGTTCCATTGGTCTATATCTCTGTTTTGGTACCAGTACCATGCTGTTTTGGTTACTGTAGGCTTGTAGTGTAGTTTGAAGTCAGGTAGCGTGATGCCTCCAGCTTTGTTCCTTTGGCTGAGGATTGTCTTGGCAATGTGTGCTCTTTTTTGGTTCCATATGAACTTTAAGGTAGTTTTTTCCAATTCTGTGAAGAAAGTCATTGGTAGCTTGATGGGGATGGCATTGAATCTATAAATTACCTTGGGCAGTATGGCCATTTTCATGATTCTTCCATGAGCATGGAATGTCCTTCCATTTGTTTGTGTCCTCTTTTATTTCGTTGAGCAGTGATTTGTAGTTCTCCTTGAAGAGGTCCTTCACATCCCTTCTAAGTTGGATTCCTAGGTATTTTATTCTCTTTGAAGCAATTAAAAATATGGAACACTTCACGAATTTGTGTGTCATCCTTGTGCAGGGGCCATGCTAATCTTTGCTGTATCGTTCCAATTTTAGTGTATGTGCTGCCAAAGTGAGTACCACATGCACCATCTTTTTTACAACATTTACAATACTCCAGTCTGGTATATATGAGCCCAACAGTGAACTTCATAAAAGAGAGATCTTTTTGTTGTTAGAACTGGGTTTCTCAAGTATAGCACCTCTGGAAAGGGAATGACTTTAACCTGTTATTTATTTACATTGTTGTAATTAAAAAGCAGTAATATAGATCTGCTGAGATGCTACAAAACTTCACCAACCTACCATCATCAATGGTATATTCCCTAAGAATGGGACAATCCTGGGAAAGAGAAGCATCTGTCACTAGTCTTCTATTAAATTCTCAGCATCTACATCCAGAGCTTCGACTACCACTTTGGCCATCTGATTTTCAATCTCCTTCATCTTCCTCTCCAGTTGTGCCTCTTCATCCCATGAGATGATGTATAGTAACAGGCACTAAGGTGTGTGGGCTCCAGACTCAATTTACCAGGGTTCAAATCCTGGCTCTACCACTTCTGAGATTTAAGTTGTATACCACTTTGTGCCTCAGCTTCCTGACCTATAATAGGATGATGCTATCTATCTCTCGTGGTTGCTGTAAGCCTAAAGGTTAAACAATTTGATCTATTAAAAGCACCAAAACCAGTGCCTTGCATGCAGCAAGTTCTCAATGTTAGTTATTTTCAACCACGTGGTACATGTTGTTTCCTGGATGCCCAGTCTATCCATTCATTCAGCCAACATGTATTTATTGAGCATTTCTTATGTGCTAGGCACTGTTCAAGACACTTAAGATACACCAGTGGCAACACAGAAATATCCCCGCCCCTGTGGGACTTTCAGGTAGAGGTATATTTGTTTATATTAATAGATAAAACTAAGTAAATTGTATACTATGTTAGAGAGTGGTAATGCTGTAGGACAAAAAAAAATGGAGATGGGCAATGGTCTTTGGAAGATTGGCAAGGTTTAAGATTTAATATATATGTTAAACACAATACTCTTTAAATAAAAATCATTTTTTTCCAGGAAAATTATATTCCCTTCTTGATTTCCATTTGCTGATAATATCTTTGTTACCCAGGCTTAGAAACTCAGTCACCTTATTTTCTTTTCTATTTTCCCCATAACCTGCCATTAAGTCCTATGTTTATTTTTTGTAATGTCTCTTGAATCTACCCAGATGTGAGCATTGAGGCCTGGGTTACTCAGTAGTGTTCTAACTAGTCTCTGCTTCTAACCTCTCCCTGCTCAAATCAAGCCTACATGTCACTAGCAAAGCAACTCCCAAAAAAAGCTTGACCATGTCCCCTTCTTTCTCTAATGCCTATGGAATTAAAGTTAAACTTAAAAAAAAATGTTTAAAAGCTGGCAATTCCACTGCTGGGTATACACTCCAAAGAACTGACAAGGACCTGAACAGTTATTTGTATACCAATGCCCATAACATTGTGGCTATTGTGAATAGCCTTTTCAGAATAGACAAAAGGTAGAAACAACCCAAATGTCCACCATATATATAAAAGAATACCTGTCTCCCATGTATATATGAGACATATTCATCCTTAAAGAGGAAATCTGGATACATGTTATAACATGGATAGATCTTGGAGACGTGCTGTGTAAAATAAGACGAACACAAAAGGACAAATATGATTCCACTTATATGAGGTATCCAGAATAGTCAAATTCATTGACAAAAAAGTAGGAAACTGTTTACCAGGGGCTGGGAGGAGGAAGCAATGGGGAGTTACTGCTAAACAGGTACAGAGTTTCAGTTTGGGATAAGAAAGTTCAAGAGATGGACAATAGTGATAGTTACAATACAATAAGAATATTCTGAATGTCACTGAACTATGAAACTTAAAAATGGTTAAAAAGGGCAGGGCATTGTAGCTCATGCCTATAATCCCAGCACTTTGGGAGGTTGAGGCAGGCAGATCATCTGAGGTCAGGAGTTTGAGACCAGCCTGGCCAACATGGTGAAGCCCCGCCTCTACTAAAAATACAAAAAATTAGCCAGGTATGGTGGCAGGTGCCTGTAATCCCAGCTACTCGGGAGGCTGAGGCAGGAGAATCATTTGAACCCAGGAGGCGGAGGCTGCATTGAGCCAAGATCATGCCAATGCACTCCAGCCTGGGTGACAGAGTGAGACTCCATCTCAAAAAAAAAAAAAAAAAAAGGTTAAAATGGTAAATTTTATGTTCTGTATCTTTTGTCCTATAGAAACACAAGTTGAATTAACAAAAGCATATATTAAAACAAAAGTACAGGCCAATACCACCAAAATGGTTTTATTTTTGTCATTGACAACAAGCACAACACTGCAATTGTATCATTATTTTGTTTAGTTTCTTAAATATTACTTAAGTATGCATTAAAAATATGTTTACATTTTAAAAATGTGACACTTTAAAGAAGTCCTCTGTAAACACGATCCCTTCTCAATATATTTTCCTGCTTTGTTTCATACATAAATAACTTAATCTACAAAGTCATAAATAATACTATCAACTCTTATGGCCTGGAAGTATATACAAATTTTGGAGTCTGACAAAAGTGTTCTTTATGATTTTATAAATAACACATAGTATTTGTAGTGTTGATTATAAATCAAATGACTTTTTACAAATTCCTACTGTCTCCTCAACCTGTTCTACCAGTAACAGATCTTCCAGTTTACTTGGTTGGTAAAGATGCCAGGCATTTAAAAAGTCAAAATGGTCAAAATTCTATATTAAAAAAAAAAAAAGGCAGAGAAGGTTGCTATTTAAATATTACCAAATCTTAATAAAACCACTTCAGCTTGTCTGAAAAACAAAAAATGCTAGTAAAGAGTGAATGCTTGTACAATCATATAAATGGTACTCAATAAAATCTAAAATTTAAGAAATAATAAAATCAGATGAAATCCATATTAGTTTTGCAAAAAAACTCCACTGAGATTCTATTACAGGAACAGAATCAATACTATTCTACATTTTCTAAAATTTATTTCTAATCTTCACTTTGATGAGTTAAAATTTTAAAGGCAAGAATAATGACAAACAAAACAATTCTGAAAAGCCATACTTATAATCCTTGACATCAAGATGTTAAAAAGGTTTTTTAAAAAAAGCCATACTTGAGATTCCTAATATAGAACATTTGATTGTTTAGTTTTGTTTAATGACTGGAAATCCTTATTTCTTCAAAAAATAGCAAGTATCCTTTGAAACACATCACCCATCTAATAAGATTGTTTAGTTTTGTTTAATGACTGGAAATCCTTATTTCTTCAAAAAATAGCAAGTATCTTTTGAAACACATCACCCATCTAATAATTTATTAAATAACCATTCAAGATTTATTAGGTAAGCACTAAAATTACTTTTATGTAATAAAAGTAAATAGGAATTTTGCATGTTTGTTGTTTCATTTTACAAATTTTTTTATTCCGTTATTTATAGGATATAAAACTTTAAGAAAACATTCTCAACTAACATTCTCATTAGATGTAAATGATTCAAATTACAAATAATACTAACCTAAGCATTGTCATTACTTTTAAAATCCAAGTTTCTCAAAGTTTGATTTTTTTACTCAATACAAAAATGACCTGGTTCACACTATTAGCTGCCCAACAAACTGTTTGAAAAACTAAATATTCTTTGTTCAAGAGTAGATTACAAGAAATGTTTTCCATGCTCTTATTTCAAAAAACAAGATTCTGATATACATAATGAATCTAAATAAAAATTCACAAGTGGTGGCTGAAATCCTGTCAACTTTCAGCCCAATACAATATAAATCCACAGTTATAATGCATAAACAATTCAAAATTAAAGTTTATAATGGAAATGTCAACAAGTCATAACTACTACACATTACTACTGATGGGTTCCACTATACTTCAACCTGGCACAGCAGATGTGCACATCTGATAGACAGACTGCTTAGAAAATTAAAGCTATCAGAGCTATAAATAAGGAATACATAAATATGAACATAGCAATGCCAAAGCATTAGAGCTGTTAAAAAAAGTGAATAAGATGTGATGTAAACACATCTGATAGTTCTCTCTGTAAGCCACTTTCCACTGATTTATAAAGCTATGGTTTTATAATTCTTTTAAAAAGTAAAATTTTTCTACACTGCTGCATGCAGTAATTTCATTGTACATTCTCAACTACAATGCAATCTTCAAACCCTCTTGCAGAGCTTGACATATCTCATCAGAATTTCTCCAGAAAGTCAGCTTGTCATATTTTCAGCAGCCTAGAACAAGAAAGTAAGATTCATTACAATAAAACCATGGAAAAAGAGGCATCATGAAGATAAATTTGTCAATACTGCACTGTCATTAACAAACAACTATTCCCCATAAAACAGAACCACTTTTATCACAGTAATGCAGTGCTTTTCATGTTTTGCTATACATCAGGACTACCTTTTGAATGTACAGTTAACAGTCCACAGGCTAACAGTGGAAAATAGTTATATCACCTAAAATAATAGTTAAGAGCACAAAAAACATACTGCTACTTGAAACATTAACCTATGGCAGACCTGTTGCCACAGACTTCATTAGTTTGTCTGTTTCTGTGTTTTATTCTAGTAATAGGGATTAAAAATGAAAAAGACCTTTCATGCTACAAGGCAGAGAGAACAAGAGCAAAAGATGAATAATGAACATCTTATCTAATCCTGTCTCATCTACATCCCTAACTACTACTCTTTCCCAGGTGATTCTGAAGAAATTCCAAGATACCATATCATCAATAAATACTTTGATACATTATTTCTAGAGACTTAAACAAATCACCATACTATTATCCTACCTAAAAAATTTCTTAACATCAATATAAAAAGATATAATTTTAAATAAGTTTAATTTTAGAAATATGTGTTAGTATTTTAATTCATTTACCTTTCTAACTCCTTTTTATAAGACCTACCTACACAGGGACACATCGCAGATTTACACTAAAGTATTAGTAACAGTACAGGACATCTGTAAGAGAAAGGGCAAGCCTTAGTCCACAGGACTCCACCATAATGGTATAACTTAAGACACTGGGGTACTAAAATAGAAGATACAGGAAAGTAGGTTTTGCTCAGAACTTCTCAAATTACAATATGTAGATGACTGCTTACACATAAATCCTAGAACTAAGGAGATAATATAAAAATTCAATGTCAATAAAGAATCACTAATCAAATGCACTTAATTAACAATCCTATTTATGCTGTGGGAGATATGTATAAAGTGGCCTATTTATGGCTGTTGAGTAACTTATGTAATTAGGGAGATACATAGCTAGCTACTTTTACTATAAATGACTTAGACCACATCAATATACAAATCTGTGAAAGTAAAAAGCAAAAAAATTCACAAAAAATAGTTACTGTTTTCTAAATAGTCAACCAAAGAGCAAAAGAAAAAAGGAATGTCTCAGACCAACAGTTTTTTGCAACATTTCAAGATACCCTTGATTTGTTATCCTACATATTCCAAAAAAAGAGACAATAAATACCATACAGTTAAATTCTAAATACCAGGAATTCTAGATAAAGATAGAACACAGCAGGAACAATTTCTCTTTACCTTAATTTTAAAACTGAAAGAAATTAACAAAAAAAAAAAATGAGAAAAAAATTCATGAGCAGCAACCACACAAGGCAGGGAGAAGAACCTTATGCTTGTAAAGCCAATAAAAGGGTGGTCAAGGAAAGGCAGGTGTGGCTCAGTGTATCTCTAAACCCACCAGCTCCCCAACTCTGTCCCAAATGGCAATAAGAGAGAACAAGACTTTAATCCAGGGAGAAGCAAACCGATGAGTTATTCTTTTTCAATTCACTGAAATCAAGTATAACACTTTTATTTTTAAAATAGCATGATACTATCTGGAATGATGTTCACCAAACATTATTGCAGGCAATCTCTTTGGTAATCTTGAGTGATTTTTTTTTAAATTTTTTGTATTTTCTGAATTAAATATCTTAAAAGTATAAGGATGCATTACTTTCATAAAAATTATAGAGATTATGTCAATTACTTCAAAAAAACAAGTTGTAATAAATACTTGTTTGCTAGAAACTCCCTAGTTGTTGCTGTTGTTGTTTTCACTCTGTTGCCCAGGCTGGAGTGCAGTGGCACAATCACAGCTTACTGCAGCCTCAAATGCCTGAGCTCAGGCCATCCTCCTGAATAACCAGAACTACAGGTGTGTACCACCATACCCAGCTAACTAAAATAAATATTTTGTAGAGATGGGGTCTCACTATGTTGCCCAAGGCAGTCTTAAACTCCTGGCCTGAAGTGATCCTTCTGCTTTGGCCTCCCAAAGTGCTGGTATTACAGGCGTGAGCCAGCACGCCTAGCTGAAACACCCTAGTTTTAATGTGATGCTAGTATACTGTTTCTAGATCATAGGAGAAATGCATTTTAAGAGGCTTTGTGTATGTGAGAGACAGATTTTCCATTCAAATAGTCAACACTTTCTGATTCAGTGTATCTTAATTACTGATTTTACCTCCCACATCTCACTATGGCCCACTGGATGCAGAATAACTAGTATGCTAAAAGCTGAAAAAGCTATGTTAAATTGGCATTTCTGAACTGCCTATCCTAATATCGTAGCTTATATTTTGCCTAAGAAAATGCTATGCCAAAGCACTTGTCAGTCACCTGCCTCAGCTAGGTTTATTTGACTCTGGTTCTCTTATATGCACTCAAACTGTAGTACAAAACAAAAATATCTTCCTATTATGTTAATTCCCTTTCAAATTCAAGCACAGTAAAACAAAAACTCTTGCAGTTGTGGCAGATGTGTACTAAATAAATCTTTCCCTCAAAAATTTCAGAAATACACTGATAAAATACTATAATACTCATTTTTATTTTTATTAAAAGTTATTAGATAATATTAAGTCAGGGAATGTGCCCATGCTAAAGCCCAAGGACTCTTGTTTCTAATAACGACTTCATCTTTTCCTAAACTGCTGGCTCAGGAATTCTTGAGATTTTACTGGAGGAGAAAACTTAGTAGTTAAGTAAACAACTCTGAAGTCAGAGAGCCCAAGTTCAAATCTCAGGTCAATCACTAACTGTAAAGTTCTTAAGGTAAGTAAATTAGTCACCATAAGCTTCAGTTTCCTTAGCAGTAAACTACTAATAGTAGCATAGGATAAGTATCCCTTGTCGGAAATGCTTGGGACCAGAACTGTTTCTGATTTCAGATGTCCTAAAATTTTGGAAAATTTGCATTGAAGTTGTCCCTTGGTATCCATGGTGAATTGTTAGTTCCAGGACTCCCCATCTTCCCCACCTCACAGATACGAAGGTCCACAGATGCTCAAATGCCTTATATAAAAGGGTATAGTATTTGCATATAACCTACATGTATCCTCCCACATACTTTACATCATCTCTGGATTCGTTGTGATACCTAACACGATGTAAACGCTATGTAAATAGTTGTTATCCTGTATTGTTTAGGGAATCATGAGAAGAAAAAAAGTCTGTACATTCTTAGTACAGACATAACCATCCTTCCCCCTGTTCCCCAAATATTTTTGATCCACAGCTGGTTGAATCCATGGATGCAGAACCCACAAATACAGAGGACTGACTGTACTTGCTGACTGAGCATCCCTAATTAGAAAATCTGAAATGTTCCAGTGAGGATTTCCTTTGAGTGTCATGTTGGTACTCAAAGTATTTCAGATTTTGGAGCATGTTGGATTTTCAGATTTGGAATGCTCAAACTGTAGTAGTTATCACTGTTATAATGATAGAGGAAATAATGCCAGTAAAGCCTGTAGAACATACGGTCTGGCATGAGAAAAGTATTCATATAAATATTAGCTATTCTTGTTATTCAGTTATTTTTCTTTCTGCCATATGAAAGCCAAAGGTTTGAGGTAAAAAAGAAACTTCCCTATCTAAATAGGAGACAAGTGCTGATAGCCAAGATAATGGGTAAAAGGCCTAGACAGCATTTCAGAGATCTAAGACACGGCCCTTCCCATGACAGTCTCCGAGGCCCAGGATCAGGACCTGGAGCAAAGGTCATGCATGTTATGCTTTAGCAAAAAATTTGGCTGCATTGTGCCCATGTCCTAGGGATCTGTGGAAGTTTGGACTTGAGAGTGATTTAGGGTATCTGGTGGAAGAAATTTCTAAGCAGCCAAGTGTTCAACATGTTGCATGGCTCCTTCTAACAGCATATGCTCAGATGCATGAGCAAAGAAATAACCTAAGGCTGGAACTTATACTTAAAGGGGAGGCAGAGCATAAAAGTTTAGAAAATGTGCAACCTGTCCATGTGGTAGAAAAGAAAAGCCCATTTTCAGGAGAATTCAAGGGGGCTGCAAAGCAACCACTTGCTAGAGAAATTTCTGAATCTAAATAGAAGGCAAGTGCTGATAGCCAAGATAATGGGTAAAAGGCCTAGACAACATTTCAGAGATCTAAGAGGCAGCCCTTCCCATTACAGGCCCTGAGAACTAGGATAGAATGGTTTTATGGGCCAGGCTCAGGGCCCCGCAGCCCTCCACAGCCTTGGGACATTGCTTCTTGCATCCCAGCCACTCTGGCTCCAGCCATGACTCAAAGTGGCCCAGGTATAGCTTGGGACACGGCTTCAGAGGATCCAAGACATAAGCCTTGGTGACTTTCATGTGGTGTCAAGCCTGTGGGTGCACAGAGTACAATGGCTGAGGCTTGGCAGCCTCCATCTAGATTTCAGAGGATATATGGAAAAGCCTGGGTATCTAGGCAGAAGCCTGCTTCAGGGGTGGAGCCCTCATGGAGAATCTCTACTAGAGTAGTGCAGAGGGGAAATATGGGGTTGGAGCCCCTACACAATGTCCTCACTGGGGAACTGCCGAATGGAGCTGTGAGAAGAGGGCCACCGTTCTCCAACCCCAGAATGGTAGATCCACTGACAGCTTGTACCCTGAGCCTTGAAAAGCTGCAGACACTCAACAATGCCAGCCCACGAAAGCAGCCATGGGGGCTTAACCCTGTAAAGCCACAGGGGCAGAGTTGCTCAAGGCCTTGGGAGCATACCCCTCCCACCAGTGTGTCCTGCATGTGGGACACAGAGTCAAAGGAGATTTTTTTGGAGCTTTAAGATTTAATGACTACCCTGCTGGGTTTGGAACTTGTATGGGGCCTGTAGCCTCTTTCATTTGGCTGATTTACCCATTTTGGGATGGGAATGTTTACCCAATGTCTATAATCCCATTGTGTCTTGGAAGTAAATAACTTGTTTTAGATTTTACAGGCTCATAGGTGGAAGGGACTTGCCTTGTCTCAGAACTTTGGACTTTTGAGTTATTGCTGGAATGAGTTAAGACTTTTGGGGACTGTTGGGAAGGCATGATTGTATGTTGCAATGTGAGAAGAACACATGAGATCTGGGAAGGGCCAGCGAGGGAATGATAGTTTGGATGTGCATCCCCACCCAAATTTCACCTTGAAATGTAATTTCCAATGTTGTAATCTCCATTGTAATCTCCAATGTTGGAGGTGGGGCCTGGTGGGAGTTGACTGAATTCATCCCTCATGAATGGTTTAGCACCATCCTCTTGGTGCTGTACTCGCTAAAGTGAGTGAATTCTTAAGAGTTATGGTTACATAAAACTGTGGCACCTCACTCTCTCCCTCTCTTGCTCCTGTTTTTGCCATGTGACATGCCTTCTCCCCCTTTGTTTCCATAATGATTGTAACCTTCCTAAGGCCTCTCCAGAAGCAGATGCCACTATGCTTTCTATACAGCCTGCAGAACTATGAGCCAATTAAACCTCTTTTCTTTACAAATTATCTGGTCTCCGGTTTTTTTGTTTTTGTTTTTTTTTAAGAGGAAGTCTTCCTCTGTTGCCCAGGCTAGAGTACAGTGGTGTGAATCTTGGCTCACTGCCACCTCCGCCTCTTGGGTTCAAGTGATTCTCTTGCCTCAGCCTCCCGAGCAGCTGGGATTACAGTGCCTGCCATAATGCCTGGCTAATTTTTTTATTTTTAGTAGAGATGGGTTTCACTATGTTGGCCAGGCTGGTCTTGAACTCCTGACTTCAAGTGCTCTGCCCACCTCAGCCTCCCAAAGTACTGGGATTACTGGCTTAAGCTATCATGCCCGGCAGGTATTTCTTTATATCAATTCAAGAATGGACTAATACAGAGTCTACCATAAAAGTGAGGATAGTAGTTACTGGAGAGGAGAGCAAGAGAGAGGGGTTAGTGACTGGGGAGAGGGCAGAAGGGGGATTATCTGGTGCTGGCAGTGATGGTTGCATGGATATTCTCTTTATGATACATTTTAGCTCTACAAATGTGGTTTACCCTTTTTAGTTAGATTTAATAATCAAGAGATTTTAAAAAGCACAAAAACAAACCTAAAGAATAAGAACTCATTGGAAAATAATCTGAAAGATATGTAAATTGCATGTTTTAAATAGTTGATTTCTTAAAGGTAAGAAAAAAGAGAAGTCACTTTGTATCAGGTATCAGAAGGTTTTATTTGTTTGTTTGTTTTTCCCCCCATTGACCGTCTCTATGAGCCCATGTTTTGGACAAGTTTTAAGATGAACTAACTTAAAGTTTCAGTATTCAAAGTGAGTTAGTGCTATATAAAAAGGGAAATAAAATCACAAGCTTTTAAATCAGAAAGTCTGTGGAAGACAGAATAGGACATGTTTTTAGTTGCCAATCTGAGCAATTAAAACGTGGTTAATTTGAATTGGAAAAAAGGTGGCCCTCTGGGAACCTGGTGGCAGCAGCAGTCCCATGGTCTCTGAGGCGCTCTTGGAGTCACTTTTTCCTTTTCTTGAAGGATAACACATGGGCCCTCAGCTGAGCAGCTCTATCAGCCAGTTTCCTGTCTAAACAATCCCACTAATCTGATAGCCTTCTTTCACTTCATCCTGTCCAAGCTGGCAGTGTTTGTGTTGAGATGGTTGACTGGCTCTATCACATACCTAATGTCTTCACAAAAGTGTAGCCACACTCTTAGCCCTGTCTCCAGAACATGTTATTCAGACAGGCTGAGAATTTTCTAAATTCTCAGATGCTAGTTCCTTTTCTCTTAGCAGGTCCTTACTCGATTGCTCATTTGTGTCACATTATTAAGCAGCAAAAAGAAATCAGGCTACACCTTCCACAATTTGCTTGGAAATTTCCTCAATGAAATATCCAAGTTCATTGCTTACATATTCTATTTTCCTTCCAACAATAGAACACAATTCAGCCACAATCTGTCACTTTCTTTTTTTTTTTTTTTTTTTTAGATGGAGTTTCGCTCCTGTTGCCCAGGCTGGAGTGCAATATCGCAATCTTGGCTCACTGCAACCTCTGCCTCCTGGGTTCAAGCAATTCTCCTGCCTCAGCCACCCAAGTAGCTGGGATTACAGGCATGTGCCACCACGCCTGGCTAATTTTGTATTTTTAGTAGAGATGGAGTTTCATTATGTTGGTCAGGCTGGTTTTGAACTCCTGACATCAGGTGATCCACCCACCTTGGTGTCCCATAGTGTTGGGATTACAGGCATTAAGCCACTGTGCCTGGCCCATTCTGTCACTTTCTAACAAAGACCACCTTTCTTTTAGTGTCCAATAAATGTTCCCCATTTCCATCTGGGTCTTCACTAAAAGTGCTTTTAACATTTACATTTCTAGCAACATTCTGATCCTAATGTTAGTCTCGAAAAAACTCTGAAGCTTTCTCTACAGTTCTTTTCTCTTCTTTCTGAGCCCTCACCAGAATTGCCTCAACATTCACAGTTCTACTAACAGTTCCTCTTCAAGGAAATCTAGTCTTTTTCTATCAAGCACCTTAAAACTTTCCAGTCTCTATCCAATACCCAATTCCAAAGCCACATCCTCACTTTTAAGTATTTGTTACAGCAACACCCCACTTCCCAGTACCAAAATCTGTATCAGATTTCTGGGACTGCCATAATAAAGTAACCACATATTAGGTGGGTTAAAACAACAAAAATCTATTTACAGTTTGAAGGCCAGAAATCCATACCTACTATACATATTTAACCAAGGCGTTAGCTGGGTCATGCTCTCTGACAGCTCTAGGGGAATATCCTTCCTTGCCTCTTTCTAGCTTCTTATGGCCACAGAAAATCCTTAACTTTCCTTGGCTATTTGTGTCCAAATTTCTCTTCTAAGGCCACCAATTATTGGGTTAGGATCTACCCTAATCCAGGATGACCTCATCTTAATTTGATTATATCTGCAAAGGCATTATTTCTAAATAAGGTCATATTCATTGGGACCAGGGGTTAGGACCTCAACATGCCTCTTCTGGAGCAGGCACAATTTTACTCACCAAATAGCACAATTCTAAAAACAGACTTCTGGGAAAACATAACATGGTCCATGGTAGTAGTAATTTTTCTTTTTTTTTTTTTTAGACGGAGTCTCACTCTGTCACCCAGTCTGGAGTGCAGTGTCGCCAACTTGGCTCACTGCAAGCTCCGCGCCTCCTGGGTTCACGCCATTCTCCTGCCTCAGCCTCCCAAGTAGCTGGGACTACAGGTGCCCACCACCACGCCTGGCTAATTTTTTTGTATTTTTAGTAGAGAATGGGGCTTTACTGTGTTAGCCAGGATGGTTTCGATCTCCTGACCTCATGATCCGCCCAACTCAGCCTCCCAAAGTGCTGGGATTACAGGTGTGAGCCACTGCGCCCGGCCTAGTAGTAGTAATTTTTATGATATGAACATACACTATTGAGCTCCTGGTCTTCTAGTGGTGTTGCATGTTAGTTTAACCTTGTTTAACCAGGATGTTTCCCATAACTTCATCATTAATCATTTTTCTAAATAAAAGCATCTTTATTTAGAATGAACTAATAGGAATCTCCAACCTTCAGTGCTTCAGTAGCCTTGCGAAGCTCCTTAATAACCGATGATAAAGCTTCTGGGTTAATTCCTTGTTCACAAAGCCGTACACAAATAGACAGAGTTTCCATATCTAAGCCAGTATTCAAAATTCTTGAAATCTCAAGCAGAACTGAAAAAAGATACAAAAAAAAAAAAAACTTAAGGCTTACAGCATTTAAAAATATGCATATAGTACTTTCATTAATTTATATATCACTGCACAATACCAAGGAATTAGCATAGCATCCCAGGTTTTGGAAATCTGCATGTAATACTTTCTTGCCTTTACTTAGTTTTAGAAACTTAAATATAAATATAAACTTACACCTTCCCTTCACATAACTGCCTTTTACATCTTGCTATATATTCTAGCACTTGTTTAATATCTAACATGTATCCACCATACTTAGGATAATTCTGAACACTTGCTTATTTTTTAGTATTCTTTTAAAATGCAGTTTAACTAGTCGCATATTATTCCATTTTATGGAAACACTATACTTAACTACTCTGTTACTTTAAAAGTTAGGCTGCTCTCATGTTTCTCTCATTAAAATAATATTGGTAAGAATCTGTACATACTAAATTTTATTTCATTAGGATAAATTTCTAGAAGTAGAACTGCTCAGTCAGTAATATACATATTTAATTTGCTGAATTGACATACAATAGTCAAAAAAAGGTAATGTACATATTTAAGGCTTTAAAAGTGTTTAGAAACTTTTATAACAATTTGACAGCGTAATCATGTCTGTTGAATCTAATAATAAAAATGAAACCTTATATTTTTTAAACTTCATTTGTATAGTACTGCATTTTATTGTAGTTGATAGAACTCATTGTCTTTAACATGAGAAGCACAAACAGAGAAACTTGGTTTCCAAAGTGATTTTCAGAATCCCTTCCATTACAGGTTGTAAGTACACCGGTTCCACTGAATTTTGTTTTAAGATTGCTTCCCAGAGAGTATTTAGAATATTTTAAGTCAACTGTCAACATATTATCTATTGTTTCCTATATCATTTCCCCTTGGCATTATGCTTAGAAAATTATTCCCCATGAAAAGATTATATCCACCAGTATTCTCTTCCAGCACTTTGAAGTTTATTTCCCAAAACCCCCCATAAGTATTTATCTCCCTAGAGTTTGGGTGGAAAATAGGATCTAACTTTTCCTCCCAGAAATGAGCCAGTTGCCCCAGTAAAATTTATTGAATGACCTAAGTTTTCCCCACCCAGTTGAGATGCCACCTTTATTCATAGTAAATTCCCATATACTTACAAATTTGTTACATGTCTATCTTTTGTAAGGGCAACCATTTAATTTCTAACTTTATATTGCATGTAGTAGGGTAAACATTCCGTTGTCATCTTTCATTTATATAAGCCATTTTATTCTTCGGATGAACTGAACATTTTTCATCAATTCTAAAAACAAATTCCAACTGGATTCTGATTAACTGTATAAAAACTACATTATTATTTTGGGAAGAATGGACAAGTTATCAATATTTAGTCACCCATTAATTTAAGTCTAAGTCTTTCTGAAAATTCTTATAGTATTTATCATGTTCATGAGATAGGTCCCTCCCATTTCTTCCATATCAGATATTCACTTTCATCCCTAGAAGTTCAATTTGAGCCGGGCGCAGTGGCTCACGCCTGTAATCCCAACACTTTGGGAGAGCAAGGTGGACAGATCACCTGAGGTCGGGAGTTCGAGACCAGCCTGACCAACATGGAGAAACCCCGTCTCTACTAAAAATACAAAATTAGCCAGGCAAGGTGGCGCATGCCTGTAATCCCAGCTACTTGGAAGACTGAGGCAGGAGAATCGCTTGAACCCGGGAAGTAAAGGTTGCGGTGAGCCGAGATTGCGCCATTGCACTCCAGCCTGGGCAACAAGAGCAAAACTCTGTCTCAAAAGAAAAAACAAACAAACAAAAATAGCAGTTCAATTTGAGTCTTAAAAAAAAAAATGTCTTTCATGCCTCTACTAAACTTTTTGGAGATATGGAGTATAGTTCTGATGCCCTTGTCTGCTAATTCTAACATCTGTGTGATCGGGGGGGTGTTCGTTACAATTGACTGAATTTTTCACATCATGGGTCATACTGTTCTGCCTTGCATATCTGGTAATCTTTGATTGGATGCCATGTACTTAGAATTTTACTTAGGTACCGGATAGTTTTGTATTTCTAATTCTTGAGCTTTATAATGAGATACCGTTATCTGGAAATGGTTTGATCCTTTCGGATATTACTTCTTAGATCTGTTAGGCAGGACCAGAGCCCTGTTTAGGATAGGGCTAATTATTCCCCTTATGATTGAGGTAAGAATTCTGAGTACTGTATCCAATGTCTTATGAATTACAAAGATTTCCATTCTGGCTGGTAGTTACAGGCACTATCCTCAGCCCTGTGTAAGCACGGTGCACGGTTCACTCTAATCCTTCTAGATGGTTCCCTCCCAGCTTTCTGAGTACTTTCCTCACACATCTGCTAATCAATGCTCTGAATACTTAAGGGGGACACTTCTACAGATCTCCAGCATTCTTTCTGTGCAGTTCTCCCCTCTCAGGTACTGTTATTCAAACTCTACCTGCCTTGGTCTCCCAGGTCTTCTAAACTCCTCCTACTCACTTCAGTGTGTCCACTGGGTTCTCCCTGCTATACTGAGGCCTGGAACTCTCTGAAGGCAGTGAGCTGGGGCAACCCAAGAAATCACTTTGCTTGTTTCCTGTCTCTAAGGGATCACTGTACTCTGATGCCTGATGTCCAGTGTCTTGAAAACCATTGTTCTGTATGCTTTACCTGAGTTTTCTTGGTTGTTTCAAGTAGAAGCATAAATCTAATCTCTGTTACTCCATCTTGGCTGGAAGATGACAGCTCTTCCCATTTTCATTTCTTCAGTTTTGATATTCCAATTTACTGATACTTTGCTCTTCAGCTGTATCCAGCCTGTTATTCATATTATCTGCTGAATTTATTTCAAATTTATTTCAGTAGCTTTCAAGATTTCTAATTTCTAATTTCTCACCATAAACACTTGTTTTATAACTAAATGCTTATTTATAGTGACAAATTTCACAGCTGTTGTTCCTGCCTTCGTCTATTTAAGGCTATATTCTTAAACTGTATTTGAGATTGCTCTATTATCTCTATTTCTTGGAGTATAAGCAAGCAGCAAAAGACAGTGGTTAGGAGTGTGATCTCTAGAGCCAGACTACCTGTGTTCAAATTCTAGCTGTAGTATTTAGTAGGCAAGTTACTCTCTCTGTGCCTTATTTCACCATTCTCGAAAGTGAGGATAATAAGAGTACCTGTTTTAAAGGATTAGTGTGAGAATTAAAGGATACACTTAGAATGGTATCCATTTGTTTTGCTGACACTGCCTTGCAGTCCTTTGGAATGGTGCTTGGCATACGGTAGGGCTCAATAAAAAAGAGTTCCCTGTTACTACCACTTTCCCTCTTTTTCCTTTTCCATGTTAGTTGCTCATGTTTTTCATCTACCTTAGGTGCTTTGTCATTCTTGGCTGAAAACTCATCTTCCATAGATTTATTTTAGGTGTCCTGGACTGGTGGCCCATTCTAAGATAGGAAGCCGTACCCTAGCTTTAGGCCTCTAGATCAGGCCTTGTAGTATTTTTGGTCCAGATCCAAAAAACACATGGATGGTGCTTCTCAATCTCTGGCTGTGACAAATGGCACATTTCTGACTCCCAACTTCAGTGAGGCAGGGTAGCATGCTTTGTCAGATTCTATTCCCGACAATCCCCTGCTGTGGTTCCCATCTGCTCCTTTCTTTTGGGGGGAAACCTCTCTCTTCCTAATCAATGGAGACTTCCCTTCTTGCTTTTGAACAGGTCTATCCTGATAATTATATTTTCTTACTATTTCCTATTTTTTTATATGCTTAGAGTTTCAGCAAGTGCTCAATCTACCATATTGAATCTTCACTTTATTTTTGACTGTCTTCACAAATGGATTCTACTTAGCCCTTGTACATTCTAAGTGGTTACCATCAGTATACTGGAACACTACATATTAAACTTTTTAATCACCAGTCACCTTGATGAATTCTATGATGCTTCTAACAGTTTTTCAGTTGATTCTCTCCCTTCTCTCTCCAGTTTCCAGTTTGTTCTCTTCATGGTAGACCCCCCCACGTATAAAGGCTATGCTTATTCCTGACTTCATGCCTTTGTTCTTGCTTTTCTCCTCTGCCTTTTATCCTCCCTTCATATAACTCAATGCTGTTTTCTTAGTCCATCTCATTTGTGGTTTCTTCTTTAAGCCTTCTTTTCAAATGGACACCTATTTTTACTTCCTATTTTCACAAATCGCCTGTAATCAAAAACTATTTCTTTAGTGCCTACCATATGATCAGTACAGGTTGAACACTCCTAATTCCAAAATCTGAAATGTGAAATGCCGCAAAATCCAAAACTTATTAAGTACTGACATAACACCGTAGTGGAAAATTCCACACCTCATATAATGGATCAAAGTCAAAATGCAGGTGCACAATACACAGTTCATTCAGCATCCCTGAGGGAAAAAACCAAAATTACCTTCAGGCTATGTGTATAAGGTATATATAAAACATACAAGAATTCTGTGTTTGGACTTGGGTCCCATCCCCAAGATATCTCATTATGTATGTGAAAATATTACAAAAAAAAAAATCTGAAATCCAAAACATGGTCCCAAGGTTTTTGGATGAGAGATAATCAACCTCTAACTATATGTATTTTGTGCCTATTATGCTACTGCTGCAAATACAGTTATGAACAAGGTATATATGGTCCCACTCCTCACAGATATTAGTCCAGGAGGAGAGATAGATATTAAAGTAATAACTGATTCCAGATATAAGTAAAATAAATAAAGAGTGGAATACTTCTGAAACAAATTACAAGGGCATCTTACCAAGTTTGGAAGGACACAGTGTTTAGCAAAGACTTGTCTGAAGAAGTGACAATTACACTTAGACATCAAAAGTGAGTAGAAATCAACCAGACTAATACAGAGGCAGGAGGAAGGGTGATGGTTGAGAGCAAAGAAAACAGCTTGTGTGATGGTCCCTACACTAGAGGGAACTTGGTAAATTCAGACCTGAACTGCTATTGTGAAGGCAATGTAATTAACGGGGTGAATGGGTATAAAATATGAGGTAAGTCCTAGTGAAGATCTTAGAACTGTGGAAAGCTACTGGATGATATAAAATAGGAACATAAAAAAATCAAACTTGCATTTTAAGGACTTTTTGGCTGAGTATCAAATGAATCTTTAAAAAGTCCAGTTATATCACAATTTTGATAAAAGACTGGTGGGTAGGATGAACAGGAGATATTTAGCCAACCTGAAATGAGTCAAGAATTGAAAGGGCTTAGTGAAGAACAGGAGGCAGAGGAGGTGAGAAAGCAAGACTGACTTCTAGATTTCTTTCTCAAATGTGCAACTGGATTGATGGTGGTAGCATGGACTGTTTCGCTGGTACTGCCTTGCAGTGCTAGTCAAATGGAATCTATATACCATAGATTCTCTTAACTCCTTTCTCTATAACGTGTTTTTTTTTTTTTTTTTGAGATGGAGTCTAGCTCTGTCACCCAGTCTGCAGTGCAGTGGCGCAATCTCAGCTCACGACAACCTTCGCCTCCCAGGTTCAAGCGATTCTCCTGCCTCAGCCTCCCAAGTAGCTGGGATTACAGGCACCCGTACTTACTACTAAATATATATATATATATACATATATATATATATATATATACACATATATATATGTAAAGTGGTGCTACAGGCCGGGCACAGTGGCTCACGCCTATAATCCCAGCACTTTGGGAGGCTGAGGCGGGTGGATCACCTGAGGTCAGGAGTTCCAGACCAGACTGGCCAACATGGTGAAACCCTGTCTCTACTAAAAATACAAAAATTAGCTGGGCGTGGTGGCGGGCGCCTATAATCCTAGTTACTCCAGAGGCCAAGGCAGGAGAATTGGTTCCCATCCCCAGCTTCAACCTGGGAGGCGGAGGTTGCAGTGAGCCAAGGTCGCGCCACTGCACTCCAGCCAGACTCGGTCTCAAAAAAAAAAAAAAAATAGTGCTATGATAAAGCCTCTCATAAGGAATAATTATCAAAATTAAAATTCAGATGCACAGGACGATTTTAGAGGAAAATAAAAATTAAGGTATAAAAAGCAATCAATAGAGAGTACCTAACATACCAAAAAGTTGAAAAGCAAAAGAGGCAACCATACACAGTGGGTTGCGAGGGGGGTGTTGTTGAAAAGGCACGACTATTTTAAGCGTGTAGAATTTTAGGGATATAAGGATGAAAGCAGAGATCTCATGCAGACCTTATTCTAAATTGGCAGAGATAGTTCTTTTCAGAGTGAGGTGCACAGATAATTTATTAATAGAAAGTTAGCCTGCTTCCTTCCATGTCTTTAACAAAATCCTTTCATTTCATGATCAAAATGCAAATGTAGCCAAGAGTTCTGCAATTCACATGACTTAAAGGGAGGTTCACAAATGCTACCATTGAGGGGAGAAATGGTATTCAAAAAGTTTTGAAAATTTTATTTTTGATCTCACGGGTTGATTTAAATACTGTGTAACACCACATCCCCTCTCCTTCATTTTTTGTTTTACTTCACTTTTTTGTGTTCTTACTCTCTTTATAATCTTCATTTCACACCAAGTTTTCTCAGAAGAGATCTTGATGATGCAGCCAACACAAACCATCAGTTCTCAATTGTACATCAGTGATTCCACCAGAGAAAATGTGAGTTTTCTGTTCAAATGGGATCCTGTGGCCATATACATAAGGAACCTAAGTACAGCTAACCTAAGAAAATAGGCTAGAAGTGAGGTCTTATACTCTACCTTTTTCCAAGGAAATATACAAGACAGTAAATTTATATTTATATACACACACATATATATATTCATACATAAATCCACTTACAAAATAAAACTATTAAGTGTTGATACATCGAAAAGGATAGAAAAATAAGCTGAATATTAAGAGTAACATTCTCAGAAAAACAGCAAGGTAGATACTGAACAAGTGAAAAATTAGATGCAAAGGCTCTAAAAGTGTAATTCTTTGAAAAGAAAACCAGGACCAGTGCAGAAAAAGCCAGCAGCCCCTCTGCAAGTGCTACATAAGAAAATGAGGCCGGGCATGGTGGCTCACGCCTGTAATCCTAGCATTTTGGGAGGCCGAGGCATGTGGATCACCTGAAGTCAGGAGTTCGAGACCAACCTGGCCAACATGGGGAAACTCCGTCTCTACTAAAAATACAAAAAATTAGCCGGGTGTTCTGGCGGGCACCTGTAATCCCAGCTACTCCAGAGGCTGAGGCAGGAGAATCGCCTGAACCCGGGAGGCGGAGGTTGCAGTGAGCCGAGGTTGCGCCATTGCACTCCACCCTGGGCAACTACAGCAAGACTGTGTCTCAAAAAAGAAAAAAAGAGCCTACGGTGAAGGAGAGAGAGATACAGCAGTGAGAATTTCATAGGGTTATCTTTTAACAGAGACGGAAGCTGACGTGAGTAGACCCTGGAAAACGTCTAGGCCCACTGCAAATAACAACATCGATCAAACACTCATAATACAGGTGGATGTGAGTAAAAAGGAGACAAAGAAAGAAGACTACAAGAGAGAGGCCATCTGAAATAATATAAAAATAATTGATCATCTTTGATATGTTTTTACATGGTTGTCTTATTTAAATATTCACAACTCCTGGAGGTAGGGTTTTATTTTACAGAAAAAAAAAAAAAAAAAACTAAACAGGCTCAATGATGTTTAAGTATCTAGTCCAAGCTCACCACAGGGGCATAAAGTGGCAGAACCGACATTAGAGGGTAGACAGAGGGTAACCGCAAGACACAAATTTCGTGTTCTGCAACACTTGTGTAGGCTTCACACACACGTGCCTCCGGGGCCGAAAACAGGCGACACCATAGCACTTGGGCACTGGTGTCACCCGCTTCAAGAGGAAACTAGGATAATTATGACCAAAGGGGAACTTGTTCATTCGCCGGATATTAAAGGTGCCTACTTAAGTGCGAAGAACAGGAGGCATAGCGGTGACCAAACACCTGGCCCCTGTCCCCGCCGGGATCCCAACCTTGGGGACCCCCGAAGCGCCCCGGGCGGGAATCGGGTGGGACGCGGCACGCAGGAGGGAACGGGTGTACTGGGTGGGGTGGGCGTGACGCTGTCACCGCAGGAGATCGGGCGGGTAGGGCGGACCTGGGATGCGGGATAGAGGGGGCGCGGCATTCGCGCGAGAGGGACGCGGTGCGCAACCGGCTGACTAGGGGCCGCAACGCCTAGCGCGCGCGACAAACTACGCAGCGGCGGAGACAACTCTCAAGGGATAGGGCCATCAGCCCTGCGGCCCTGGCAGGTCCCTACCAAAGATCTTGGAAGATGCCGTTTGGGGCACTAAGGGGACCTGAAGTCCTCCCCAGGCTCATTCCCGCCTGGGGGCCTTGGCTCTGGGAAGGCACGCAAGGTAAAGGGAGCGCAACGGAAACTCACCGTCCATGGTCTCCCGCACCGCATTCAGATTCGCCGCCGCGGCCGCCGCCGCCGCCCCAGCACCGCTGCTACTCGCCATGGCTAAGGCCGAGGGAGGCGGGAGAAGGGCCTGACCCGGAACTGGAGCGCCTTCCTCTCTCCGAGGCAATCACACAGCGCGTCTCGGCCCACGCCGGGCAGGCTCCGCCCCTCGCGCTCGCCGCCGGCGTGAGGCTGCGTTGATTTGAATTTGGAGCCACGTTCCTCTGCGCGGAACGTGGAGCGAGGAGTTGCCATTCGAATTTCCTACGCGGCCTCCGTGCGATTGGCTGGTTCGCGGATGGCGGGACGACACGATTGGCTAGTCGCTCACAAGCCCCGTGCCCTGGTTGGCCCAAGACAGCGCGGAAGCGGGGAGTTAAAGAGTCTATGCCTGTCGTGGAAGCTGGCCTGGCCCCCGGAGCTCCCTGGAGTCGGTACTGGGGGCTTCGTTTTGTACGCACCGGTAGGTACGCTCTTTGTGGTCCCTGGCCTTTCCTCCTGTCTGAATGGAGAGGTTTCTTTTCCCAGCTCCTGACTTGCCTGCCCGCTCGCCCCTGGTGAATGGGAGCAGTCAGGGAGTAGGTGTGGAAGAGAGGGGCACCAGAAAGAGTGGCCACGTAGGGTTGGGGGCGACGCCTCCTTCGCACTCCATCCAGGGAAGCCGGCTGCATCTCAACCTTCCAGAAGTAGACTCTTTTCCACCCCACCCCGCCAAGGTGTAGCCTCTGTAGCCTCCTTTGATTGCAAGTAATGCAGTCTCCCTTTCTATCCCGGGAGGGGTGGAGGGGAGGTCTTGGCGAAAGGAGGATTTTTGGAGGAAAGGGGACCCCAGGCAGTTAATTTCCTAGCCCCTGTCAATCATACTTCTCTGGCTAGGACTCATGTGCAAGAAAGGCACAAGCTTCCTCATCTCTTACCTGCTTGCTACAAAGAATTGTTTAATAGCAACTGTAGTTGGATAGGGTATCCGAAGAATGTTCATAGTGTTGAGACATGAGATGATGAATTTAAAAAAAATTGTAGCTATAAGTCCTTTAGTTGAGAAGAGATCTGGGCCTGTTGTAACCTTTAGTTTCCTCAGAGGCAGATCTGAATTCATTCATATTTGATTGCTGCGTATAAGCCACTTCACTTCTCTGAGCTTAATACTTTCGCAAAATAATATCACTAGTAAGTTACTGCTATAGCTTTCAAGGTTGTTTCGAGGATCAGTTGAGAACATTTATATGTGATACTTTTTTTGTAAGCTGTATCATAGCCCCAAGAGTGTGAGGTTTTGAGTTGTTTTTTGTGACACATTTGTCGAGTACATTTTAATAGTTAAAATTAATATCTATGGGACTTTGTAATTTTAACATGCATACTCTTGATTTCTTTTTAGTTTTCTCTCTGTGCTATGGGAGATGTCAAGGAATCAAAGATGCAAATAACACCAGAAACTCCAGGAAGGATCCCTGTTTTAAATCCTTTTGAAAGTCCTAGTGATTATTCTAATCTCCATGAACAAACTCTCGCCAGTCCTTCTGTTTTTAAATCAACAAAATTACCAGTAAGTTATTCCTGACTAGTGTTTACAACTAATTTTAAATGTAAGTAATTACAAATAATTTTAAATGTAAACATCTGTCTTTACAAGGTAAGGAGGAAATACATTATGGAGCATATATAGCTGCAATATACTTTTTTAAATTGTAGTGTTCATTATAATCTAGTGGTTAGGTTAATAAGTTAGCTAGAAGATTTTTTTTTTTTTAAGTTCAAGAACATACGTTAGCTTCCTGCAGTTGTGGGTGTAGCTACATTCTGTGGTTGACGATATAGCTACTAATACATTAGAGAAGAAGCTGCATCATCTAATATTCTGTTCTCACTTATTTGGCAAACATTATTTGAGTGTTGCTATGTGTCAGATACAGTGCTAAGCAGGGATTACACTGTGAACAAGTTAGGATCATTAGGCACAAATCCTTAAGGAGGTTATACTCCGATGTATGGGTCACAAACTTTCTGTTAGGGGCCAGACAGTAAATATTTAAGCTTTACAGGTCATTTGGTCTCTGTCACAACTACTCACTTCTGTCTTGTATCACAAAAGCAGCCATAGGCAATGTGTAAAGAGATAAATGTTACTCTGTTCCAATACAGCTTTATTTATGGACACATTTGAATTTCATATAATTTTCACATGTCACAAGATATTTTTTTGTTTGTTTTCCCAACCATTTGAAACTGTCAAAATAATTCTTAGCTTGCAATCTATTATAAAAAGAAACTAACCCCTATTTTAATGTGTTAAACAGAACTAGATGAGTAATATCAAGGCAGTGTGATAGGTGATATGATTAGTACTTAGGACAATAGTAATATGAAGGAAAAGTGTTCTTCAGGATATTAGAAAAGGCTTCATCACTTTATCTTTTTTTTTTTTTTGGTAGAGATGGGATTTCACCATGTTGGCCAGGCTGATCTCGAACTCCTGACCTCATGTGATGCACCCACTTCAGCCTCCCAAAGTGCTGGGATTACAGGCATGAGCCACCATGCCCGGGCCACTTTATCTTATTTTACTGTTATTTGCTACACTGGATAAGTTCTTTTGACCTTGGATCTTTCAACCTACCAAGTTACTTAGAAAAACTGCAAATAGGGTGGCTGTTTCTGCTACACTTTCATACAGGTTTTACAATGAGCAAGTATGTACTAGTGGAAGGTCGAGCAGTTTATATTGAGTCATTTCATCAATCTGACCTTATGATTTTTAATTGAATCATTAAAATTTATCTCTTGGTCTTACTAAAAATAAATAATAGATTGACGGCAGCTTAATCCTCAAAGTTGGAATGTATGGCATCTTGCGTTTTTAGGACTGAATTTGCCTAGAATATATTTCTAATTACAGATTAGGATTTGGATAAACCTTTAATTCAGTTGCATGGTTGAGTACAGAAAGGCAGCACTGGTTGCCATTCATAATTATTTTAAGGATCAACTATGTTGTGAGCTTTTGCAGCCACCTCCAAAGTGACTAAGGACTTTAATTTCAGTTCCTTCTTAGTGAAAGTAAAGACGTTTGTTAACTGTGAGAGATTTTTACTTTTACATGGGCTTAGTTTATCACACTGATGAGTGTTAATTGTGAAAGTTTTATATCTTTATTACTCTGTTGTGATTTTTCTCGTATTACGTAATTCCAACCCAGGTGAAAGATTCTGATATTTTAAAAGAGATACAGGCTGGGCGCTGTGGCTCATGCCTGTAATCCCAGCACTGCCAAGGTGGGCTGATGACTTGAAGTCAGGAGTTTGAGACCAGCCTGGCCAACATGGTGAAACCCCATCTCTACTAAAAAAAAAAAAAAAAAAAAAATACAAAAATTAGCTGGGTGTGGTGGCGGGTGCCTGTAATCCCAGCTACTCAGGAGGCTGAGGCAGGAGAATCGCTTGAACCGGGGAGGTGGAGGTTGCAGTGAGCTGAGATTACACCAGTGCACTCCAGCCTCGGTGACAGAACGAGACTCTGTCTTAAACAAAGAGAGAGAGAGATACAATTAAGTCAGTTGATCGAATGTGATATGATTACCCTTTGCCATTTAATTTCATGGTAAAGTCAAATTTTAAAATACAAGCTTTAAAATATTTTCATATTATAACCATTCATATTATTTCTCACATAGGTTAGCATTTTGATGAACTATTTTAGTTTGCCTTTACTCATAAGCTCACTTTCTTTTGTTAAGACTCCAGGGAAATTTAGATGGTCTATTGATCAACTAGCTGTAATAAATCCTGTAGAAATAGACCCAGAAGATATTCATCGTCAAGCTTTATACTTAAGTCATTCTCGGTAAGTTTTCCTTTCTTGCACCTAAGTCTAATAACACTCTCAAGTGAAGAGAGGTAGGAAATTCTAAATGTTGAGTATTTTTCTATGTAAAGGTATCAGGGAGAAAAAATTTTGATGCAGATTTTTTCTATCTAAATGAATGAGTTCAAAGAACTACATTCAGAAAGATTTTCTTGCCAACAGTTCCAGACCTGAGTAGATACCTTTTTCTTTTACAAGTAACCTTTTCCCTCTGCTACTGAGGTGACAGCTCTGTACCCCTAGCACTCAGTTAAGAGAAGAACATTTTGAAATTTGCACTTTTCTACATGGTTGTGGCTTCTGCCATTAACTTGTTTCAGTTTGTCTTTTTGATGATTTGGGGTAAAGCAAAATGCTGTTTCATTGTTATCTATGTTTGGGGAAACCTAAAACCCCCTCAAAGAGTTACGTATGCACTGAATGGAAGGGTATCCATTAGCAACAGAGCGGTTTTTTAGACATCATCCAACTGTAACAATTCACTTGGAATCTGAATTACATTTTCTAGAATTCTACATATCACCCAGTGCAGTCTTATTTGTTGATGTGTTGTTTAGGTTTCAAGGCACTAATGTACTGCAGATTTAGTTTTTTATTACAAAGTGTAAGGTCCTATTATTCTTTTGTAGTTTTAGGGACTCTTGTTTATATGTTTTATAGTCTGATTTTTTAATATTTGAAAAAAATCAAATACATGGTATGACCAGATTTTAATTTGCTGTCCTAAGGTAGACATGTTGTTAGTCCAAAACAAAGGATAATCCTTTTCCCTTTGACTTAAGAATTCAGTCACACAACGTTGCACACATATTGAGATATTCTGGTAAATACTTACTGGCTTTTCTCCTCCATCTTCTCTTTGCTTGGTAACATGATGACCATTCAATCATAAAATTAATGTCCACCCAGAGTGTTAATAGGAAGGGAATAGAATGAGGATGAAGCATGAAAGGATTTTAACTTAAATTTAAATAATACCTTTGAGGCCAGGTGTGGTGGCTCACACCTGTAATCCCAGCATTTTGGGAGGCTGAGGCGGGCAGATCACTTGAGGTCATGAGTTCAAGACCAGGCTGGCCAACATAGTGAAACCCCATCTCTACTAAACATACAAAAACATTAGCCGGGCATGGTGGTGCACACCTGTAATCCCAGCTACTCGGGAGGCCGAGACAGGAGAATCGCTTGAACCCAGGAGGCAAAGGTTGCAGTGAGCTGAGATCATGCCATTGCACTCTAGCCTGGGGGACAGAGCAAGACTCCATCTCAAAAAAATAAAATAAATAAATAAGTAAATAAATAATACCTTTGAAAGAGAAGGTGAGATGAATATCTAAAAGCAAATGAGTCACAGTGACTAATTTTTTGTTTCACACGAACTTAATTATGCTTAATTATTTTGTCTCATTTCTTCAATATATTGAATGATGGACAATTATTATATTGATCAGTCAAGAGATACTTATTGAGTACTGTGAGGGACTGTAAGAAACACTGAAGAAGTACAAGATACTAAGAGTCAAGAGTCAAAAATATAATTAGACCAAAGTTGTAACACAGTGCTTCTGTTCTTACTACTAAATGATATATTGTCTGCAAAGGTTTATAAAGATAATCTTGGTGTCTCTTAGTACATAGATTTATCATATAGAAGAATGGAAAAGAGTGGGAAAATATTATAATTTAATTTAATAATATAATTCAATGAATGGTTATGGCTTCTACCAAGGATAGTCAATATATTCTTCACAGAGCATCTCGTTTCATCCTTAGAAACAAGCAGTGTCTTTCAGTATCTCTTCTTACATATTAGCCCTCTACTTCAATTCTTCCCATCCTTTTCATGCCACCATCCACACAGAAAATTGTAACTGAAAAGCATACCAGTGTAAGCAGGTGAGTCTTGGCCATGTAGGTGACCAGTCCTGAGGTCCCCTCTCCTTTGCCACCCTGCAAAGGCTCAACATTCAGGCCACACCTATACCTATATGCATCATACTGGTGTTCAGTGGTATGCTGGTCAGGATGCTCTCCCCTGTATGACTTCTTAGAATCTTGTTTGATCTGACTCTAGAGTATTTGGCCACAGTGATTTTTACAGTTTCCAGCAATCACCTGAGTATTTCATGTTCTTGAAGTCCCTCTGATGAAGTAGCAAAAGGTTTCTGAATGCAGTAATCCTAGTTCAGAGCTTACTTGCTATTTGCTAAGCTTGTTATGTGCTGCCATTTTGACCATGATAAGATGAAGAGAACCATTGATAAGATGAAGGCCATTTTGTTATCCTCAAAATGGCTACTGTTCAAGCTGGGATATGTGGGTTGACACTGTAGTTTATTTTCTCATACTTCTCCCACTTGAAAAATCTACTTAATTTCTGAAATGTATACATTCTCATATAAGCTTTATTAAGCCATGAGCAAGTCTATATGTGAAAAAAATTCACACCATGGAATACTATGCAGCCACAAAAAGCATGAGATCGCGTCCTTTGCATGGACATGGATGCAGCTGGAGGCCATTATTCTTAGCAAACTAATACAGGAACAGAAAACCAAACCCCTCATGTTCTCACTTATAAGTGGGAGCTAAATGATGAGAGCATGTGGACATATAGAGGGGAACAGCACACACTGGGGCCTGGTGGAGGGTGAGAGGAGGGAGATCAGGAAAAATAACTGATGGATTCTAGACTTAATACCTGGATGATTAAATAATCTGTACAACAAACCCCAGTGACACAAGTTACCTGTGTAACCTGCATTTGTACCCCTGAACTTAAAATAAAAGTTAAAGAAAAAATTCTGAGACAAAATAATTTTAAATTGTAAAAAAAAATATGTCTTACCAATTTACTGATGGAAGGCAAGGATTCTTTCCTGTAATGGAATAAAGAAGTGGTCCTAGAAAGCTAACTGCTGAGTCCTTGGCAAGTATATGCTTTGTGCTTGGACCCAAAATTTTATATTAAATCTTGTAGCTGAGAAGTTTATATAACAGTAATTGCAGATTGTATCAAAGTGAAAAAAAAATTCATTTGGAAAAAATGTTATATTGTCAGTGTTTTATTTCAGAGTTAATATTTTTGACTGTTTAGAACTGTGAACTATCCTCATCTATTTTACAGTAAAAGTTGATTCTAAAATTATTGCCATGATAAACTTGTTATAATTGAAGAGAAAAACTTTGGACAATTTTTAGATGTATGTTGAATTAAATACTTCTTAATTTGTATTAAGGGACAAAGTTTATCAAATTTATATTGTTAAAAGCAATTTAATATCAATGTAAGTCTTTTGAAATAAAGTATCATTGCATTCAAACTTTGAATGGAAAAGAGGGAGGTAAGCCTAACAGCTAACTGCTGAATTTCAGAATACTGCCTAAATGTTACTAAATGTTACAAGATACCACTAGTATTAATTATAAAGTGAGCTTAACATTTGCCAGTTTTCAATGAAGGGAGATTATTTATTTGAAAGGTTATTTTTTAAAATGTTCAATAAGCTTAAGTAATAGCATGGTTATTTTTCTTCTTTATCTTTGTATAGAATAGATAAAGATGTGGAAGACAAAAGACAAAAAGCCATTGAAGAGGTAACTTAAACTGTTACTGATCATTAAATCAGTTAAGGATCAATTCTGCATGTACATCACTTCTTTTAGGAAGACTTTCTTCAATTCCTTCACTGTCCTATCTCCCCTCCAAGCCCTTCACAGTCCCATCTATATAAAGCACCCTTCTGTACTGTCCTAAGACCAATAATTTCCAGCTATCCCAGTACCTTGCATAGCACTTGCATACTGTTGTAATGATCAGTTTAGTGTTTCTGTCCCCTAGACGCAATCTTTTTTGGCCAATACTGTACTTCATCCTTTCATTCTCAGGACCTAGCACAATTTGTCTTCCTTGTGCCTTCAAAATGTTGATTAGCACAAACTTTGTTTCAAGTTGGAGTTTATGTAGAGGAAGTCGAATATTCTCAGGCCTTCAGAGTCTAGATTGGCATTGGGAATGGCTTTGTCTTTTTTTGTTAATACTTTGGATTTTTAAGATATTCATGAAATAAAATCTCTTACTGTTAAACAGGAAAGGTATATCATAATGTAGGCTTTCTAAAAAATAAAAATAATTAAGTTTTTTGCTTTTTTATGTCTGTTGAATTGCCTTTCTTAGCATCTAAATAAGGTTATTATTATTATTATTTTTTGTTTTTTGAGACGGCGTTTCGTTCTTGTTGCCCAGGCTGGAGTGCAATGGCATGATCTCAGCCCACTGCAGTCTCCGCCTCCCAGGTTCAAGTGATTCTCCTGCCTCAGTCTCCCGAGTAGCTGGGATTACAGGCATGCGCCACCACACGCAGCTAATTTTGTATTTTTAGTAGAGACGGGATTTCTCCATCTTGGTCAAGCTGGTCTCGAACTCCCGACCTCAGATGATCCGCCTACCTTGGCCTCCCAAAGTGCTGGGATTACAGGCGTGAGCCACTGCGCCTGGCCCAGCATCTAAGTAAGGGTTACTTACCTTGTTCTTTCCTCAGAAAGTCTTTATGTGATGGCAGCATTTCTGATTTTTACTTTTCTGCCCCTCTAGCCCCCTCAACCCTCCTCTGTTCCTTAGCCGTACTTGGCTCTTCCGTACCACAAAAGACTATGTTTACTCCTGCTAAACATTACCTACTTCTTCTTCTATCTAGTAACTGCACAGTTTTCATTCTGACTCAGTCACTTGGTTCTTCCCCACCTGAATATTCTCAGACTCTCAAAATTTCCAACATTTTGAAAAAATACTTTCTTTAAGAATCCTTAATTTTAAAGAGAAACCCAGCAGGTAAACTTAAGAAAATTTGTTTCTTTTCAATATATATTTTTGAAAATAGAAGAAACATATACATATAGTAAAAACAAAAAGAAAAAATATAAAATAAAAAGCCTCCTGTTTCCCCATCCCACTTCATGAAGGTAATGACTATAACATTTCTTATGTGTACTTTCAGATTAATTTTACTTATTTAATAGCATATGTCCTTAAAATATTTTCGACAAATAGGATTATCATTCTCATACTATTATCGTTCTCATACTGCATCCTCCTTTTTTTGCTTCATGATTTTTCTTAGAAATTTTTGATAACCAGCATATACAGATTTTTACATTCTCTTAGCAACAGCATAGTTACCTAGCCCCTGTTGACAGATGTTTAAATTGTGTTTATTATTTTTCTGTCACAAATAATGCTGCAGTGATTTGTATATATATCTTTATATTCTTGAAATGGACCTAGTAAGTCAGAGGCTTTGTGAATTTTCAGTTTTGGTAGATTTTACCATATTGCCCTCCTAAAAGGTTATACCAGTTTATACTCCTGATTACAGTGTGACACTGCTTGATTTTCCATATCTCCAATATTGATTATTATCAGAATTCTTAATTTGTTCTACTCCTATTACTTTAAAAATGACTTTTTTTTTTTGTATTTCTTTACTTTTGAGTGAACTTATACATCACTTTGTAAGTTTATAGGTCCTTTAATTTTTTTTCTGGTAATTGTCTATATCTGCCCCAGTCCACCTTTAAAAAAAAAAAAAAAAAGAATCTTTTCCTCTTAGATTCATGGGTAATTTAGTTAAGAAAATTAGCTCTTTGTCATATGTATAGCAAAATATGAAGAAAATATGTTTGGTTACTTGCAAAACCTAGGGAAGGGAAAACACTGTGGTAGAAATGAAAGAGGAAAGAAAAGTATACAAATGCTCTATCTCATTTGAATATACTGGCCAGTAGTGTGCTGGTGAATGTTTAACAACTTGCTCTCTGGTCGTGGAAGGAGTACGATTTATAGCGATTCCTGCTATCCATAGTGTAAGTACTCCAACCATGGCCAGTTTCAAGCTACTGATGTGACATCACTGAATGGGAAAGGAAGAATAGTGGCACACCATTATATGTAGGAATTCCACCATACAGATACAAAATACATTATTAACCTCAAGAGCATAGACATTGATAAATATATAAAATAATTAGCAAGTGGTGAGTTTTGGATATTTGTTACCTTTATTTTTAATATATTTAATTGTAAGTTTACATAATTTTATTTTTAATATTGGTTTTAACAACTGGTGCACAGAATTCTTGAAAATTTAATAATCAGATCTTGAGAGCCAGAACAAACAAGCCAGCTTCAGTGCCGTCATTCATACTGGCCTACTTGCATGTCTCTGTCTTAATATATTCCTTCCCTTTTCATCCTTTTTTTTGTAACCCCATCAAAAAAACCTGGGAAAGAAATTTAAAATACTTTGTCTATGATTAATCCTCTTAGTTTAGTTTGCAAGTTTCAAATTTAACTGGTTGATTTGAAGTATTAAGATTCCTCTTTATATATACTTTAAATTTCTTCCATTTTTCCTTTGGTCATTTGTATTAAAATTTTTGCATACAGTTATAAAGTTAGTATATGACATGTTTAATAATTACTTGGAAAAACACAGGTACCGTCTCACATTTTGGGTGGAATTTATGCCTAATTGTATGACTTTAATTTTCCTAGTTTTTCACTAAAGATGTCATCGTACCCTCTCCTTGGACTGATCATGAAGGGAAACAGCTTTCACAATGTCATTCCAGTAAATGTGAGTGTACTAAAAATGATATGAATAAAAATCAAAAAAGTCGGTGAATATAAAGCAACATATCATGAAGTGCCAGTATATCTGCTTTGTAAGAAGCTTGCTTTAAAATTCTGGATAACATAGAATTTAACTCCTTTTAGGGTTAGAATTAAAAATTTGACTAAAATTTATTGAATTGTTTTTTAGCTGTTATACTCTGAATTTAACTTTTTCTTCATGACTATTGTGAATGTCAGTTATAATGATGGTTATAGAGGATCCATAGATGAAGAAATAGTTGGTATTGAATATAGAGATGAGTTGTTAATGACTTTAGCAGTATTTTGAAGGTTAATATTTTAGATAAAACCGTAAATTGTGTTGCCTTTTGCTAATTTGCTGATTTCTTATAAAGGTAAAGAAAGGATGAAGACTTAATATGACCTCTGGGACAGTGTATTATTGCTGAGTATCTGCAAAATTAATAAGGAAATTAAAGGGCAAGCCAGTAAGCTAACAATTATCTTTCTACCTCCAGGCAATGGTTGTCATATATTTGTTCTCACTGCTCTTTGGGTTGTGAGGCAGTATTCAGGAATCACTTGTATATATGCATCCCTCATCACAGTGGAATTACACTGTCTATTGTAGTATACCTTAATTATGCTCTCAGTATAAGAGGGAATGTTTGTTCCATTCTTTATCAAAAAACACAACATAATAATACAACAATAATAGGTAAGCTGGGTTAGTACTTTCTCTATGCCAGGACAGTGCTAAGTGCTTTCAGTAATTTCTTATAACTCATATGAAGTAGGTGTAATTATTGGCCCCATTTTATAGGTAAGAAAACCTAGTTTTAGAAAGATGAGAGCATTTGTCCAGGGTTACAGAGATGATAAAAGTGGGAAAACCTGAATTCAAAATTCTCAAATCAGATGCTGTATTCTTAGCCATTATGAATTAGTGGTAGCACGCAATAGTAGATGGAAATCTGGATTGTAAAACCTCCTACTTTTATAAACCAGAGAGGTGACCTTGATCAAATTATTCTCTTTGTACCTCAGTCTTTTATTTGTGAAATAAAAGGATTGAACTAGAGTTGTCCATTTACATCCCCCCAGCTCTAAAATTGTGTGTCCAAGGTGGCATTCTCATAGATACTAGTTTTTCACCCCCAGATTCTTTACTGTTGGATTTTTTCAACAGATGAATCAACCTTCTTAAGTGATTTTTTAAATAACATTTTTGTATTCCAAGTATCCTGTTTTAGTTCAAGTGATGCAGGATCAAGAAGATGCTTAAAAACACTTTAGACTCTTTGAAATCTAATCAAGCCCACGATAACAGTGCAGTGGTTAATAGGATAGGCTCCAGAGCTGTGCTGTTTACTGTGTTGTTGGGAGACAATTCTCCATAGGCCTCACATTTCTGCACACCTTTCATGAAGTGGCATGGACAAGTTCTGTTCCAAACTATCTTTTCTAGGGTGTTTGTCTTGGAAGGTAGAGATAGTGTGTCCCACCAGAGCAGAGGGTAAGTTTGTTTTGCTGTCCAGTATAGTAAAGATGATGTCTCCCTCTGGAGCAGATTTGTTTGCAGTCTCTCTTAAAAGAATGGGATTTCCTAAGCTTGGGGTTCCTTAGCTATGGTGAAAACCCATTGTGTGTCCACCAGCCACCTGGGTATTTTAATTTAGAATCTTTTAAGATAGAGAGCACTCCTCCCATGATTAGGAGAGACACAAGATGGAAATAAAAATTTTATTACTTACAAGTCCTAGGGGTACACAGCATACCTGAACACCACACAGGGAGGTCAGGAAGAGAGAGAAAGGGACCCATGGGCCAACGCCTTTATTGGGTCCAGGGCATTATCCAAACAGAGTTTTAGTTGGTGGGTTTAAAGCAAGCAGGCATGCATTGAGGAGGTCACACAGTGACTGAGAGATAGTCACTGTGGCATGTCTGTGTAGTCCATGTGCGGTATGAGGGTTGGGGGGTCAGTCAGGTAGGCCATATGTAGATGGCCCATAGGGAGGTGGTTACCAGGAGGAATTTATATAAGGCAGATATCTGGATCAACCACATTGAGGTATAGAACTGGAAACTGTGTCGGGTGAATGAGCCCTGCTTTTTGTATGAGAAAGTCCAGCTTGTATGCAGAATTATAAGAATTCACTGCACTGGACTGTTTCATGTCATCTTCTTGGCACTTGGGAGCAAAGGGAATTAATAGGAATGTTAAGTTCATGCTGCCTGCTGTGCTGAAAATAATAAAGTCCTTTATCTCTGCCCCCAGAAGCCTCATGTCTTTAGCCAGCACCAATGGAACTTTGACATGTTCACCTGTTAGTTGCCAAGTTGGGTAGAATCTTAGACCCTTTATAGTTCTTGACAGTTGTGGCCACGTGTGACTATTTAAATTTAAAGTTAAATTTAAAAATGGAGTTCCCCATTCACAATATTCACATTTCAGGTGCTCAATAGCCATGTGGATATCGAGTAGTATAGATAGAGAACATTCCCATCATCACAGAAAATGTTCTATTGGATGCTACTTTAGGGCCAAGGTTGGCAGCCCTTAAGTGTAAAGGATTCAATAATAAATACTTAAGCCTTTACTGACCACACAACCTCTGTTGGAACCACTCCACTCTACTGCTGTACCACAAAAGTAGCCGCTGACAATATGTAAATGAATGTGAGTGTGTACCAGTAAAACTGTATTTAAAAAAATAGGTGAAAGGCCAGATTTGCACCATGAACAATAGTTTGCTGACCCTTACTCTAGTGTAATATTATCTAGGTTTGAATTGTACCCAGTAAAGCTCACTAGCTGTGTGACTTTAGATGAGTTACTTAGCTTTTCTGTGCCTCAGTTTCCTTATCTATAAAATGATGGTTATTGTGGTACCTCTAAGATAATGTACCTAGCACATGGTGTTTGGTTATCTACCTAAAGATTAACAAATAAAATGGTGAATGAGGGGAAAAGTGGTTTTGTTTATACATGTTAGCTTGTGCTGGTAGCATTTACTATTATTAATATTTATGCAGCAAGGTGCTTCAGTGCATATCCTCATGTGTTTTTATTTATGGACTTGAGTGAGAATTTCCCTGGGATATATACGCAGGTAGAGGATTTCTGAGTTATAGAATATATCGTTACCTAATCTGACTACACAGTATTAGAGTGCTCTCTAGAATATCTGCACAGTCTGCACAGCCCCAGCAGTCCCTAGGGTTCCTGTGTCCCAGCATCCCTGCCTGCCCTTGGCATTATCCAGCTTTTACATCTTTGCCTTTCCTATAGGTTATTTGACATTCTAAATGATTGTTTCAGTTTTCTTTTTGTCTTCATAGACTAATGACCTTTTACATTTCATAGAAAATGTCTATTTGTAATTCATTGATATGTTTCAATTGGAGTTGCTAACCTTTTTTTTCCTGTTAATTTCTAAGATACCTTACATATTGTGGTTATATTGGTCTTAAACATTTCAAATGTTATCTCCCATTCTGTCATATGTATGTTACTCTTTGTTCTTGATATCCTGGGTTGCATAGAAATTTTTATTTTGGTGCAGTCAAATCCATCGATTTTTTTTTTTCCTCATTTGATTGTGGTCTTAAACTTGTCTAAGCCCTTCTAGGGGAAGCAACCAAAACACTTGGAATAGAGTTGAAAAGTGATGTGATAATGTTGCTGTAGGTGTCTTTCTGGTCTGAGGAAGGCAAGGAAGGCATGCTGGCAGAAGATAAAATTTAAGCTGAGATTTGAGTTAGACTCTTGGAATGCAGGGGAGAAAAGGCAGGGAGGAGAGAGCATAAGATAATACCTAGAGATGAGAGAGATACCTGTTTCTTGTTTGTTTGTTTTAGGTACTCAAATAATATTTAATTAGATGGCAACCATGCTAGAGAAATAGACATGGTTTTGAAAGGCTTTGTAAGCCATTGAGGTGTTTGGATTTTATCCTAAAGACTATTGCAGGGTTTTAGGCAGAGAGAGTATTGATTACATCTGCCTTATAGAAGGTCACTCTGCATGCAGTGACAAAGTCATCTGCATCCAAAATTTTCTTTATTTACCCGTTTTGATAGTATTTCACAGGGAAATTTAATTTATTCAGCAACCCACTTACCCATTTTAAAATTTAGAATTGTTAGGTTACTACACTCTATTTTGTCATTTTATTTTAGAATTCCTGAGTTGTTTCTGGTTTTGGGGGGAGGGGGGGTTTGTTTGGTCCCCTTGCTTTTTCTTCCTTTTATCTTACTTATATTAGTCTTTTTGAGATGGTTTTGGTTTTTGAGTTTTTTTAATCTGGTGATTTTTCAATTTATAAAACTTTAGAGTTAAAATAATTTGCACCCATATTTTTAACTCTTCTTGTGAAAGAAACTATATGGTTTTATTGATCAAATTTCAGGTTTTGTCAAAATAATCTGGCATTTTAATCTGTTGAGGACATTGAGGGTAGCTAAAAGGTATCCCTAACCTTTTAAGGTTGACGTCATGAAGAGTAATCATCATTTCCTTAAAAAAAAAACATTACTTTGGGATTCATCAGTCCTACTACTGGGTATTTATCCAAAGGAACCAAAATTACTATTTCAAAGAGATACCTGCACTCTCATATTTATTGCTGCATCGTTAATCACAACAGCCAAGATATGGAGTCAACCTAAGTGTCCATCAACAGATGAATGGACTTTTTAAAATGTGATATATATATATATACACACACACACACACACACACACACACACACACACACACACACAAAATGGAATACTATTCAGCCTTAAAAAAGAGGAAATTTTGTCATTTGTGACAACATATATGAATCTAGAGGACATTATGCTAAGTGAAAAAAGCCAGCCACAGAAAGACAAATACTGAATGATTTCACTTATATGTAGAATCTAAAAAAGTCAGACTCTTAGAAGTAGAGAATAGAGTGGTGGTTACCAGACGGTAGGGAGGAGGGGTGGTGGGGGAGATGTTGGTCAAAGGGTACAAAGTTTCAGTTAGACAGGAGGAATAAGTTCTGGTGATCTGTTGCACAGCCAGGTAACTATAGCTGATAATGAGGTATCATATAGTTCAAAATTGCTGAAAGTGGATTTTAAATGTTCCCACCACAAAGAAAAGTATTTGAGGCAATGGATATGTTAATTAGCTTGATTTGCTCTTGTCATAGTGTATACATATATTGAAACATCACATTGTACCCCATAAATGTATACAATTATTTAAAGAAAAATGTAAAAAAAATATTGCTTGGTGACTCCTTATTTGCTGTGGTAATCCTTTAGTTTTATCCTTGTATTCCCTCAAAGGTAAAAAAATAATAGAAACATACCAAAATATATACTTATATATGCAGATTTTTTTTAATGTTGCAAAATAAGTTTCCACTTTCTTAATTTTTTACTTTGGAAAAAGTAATGCTAAAGCAAATGAAGAGTATAAAACATAGGATTTTTCACTTAAAATGTCTTACAGGCACTAACATAAATAGTGACTCTCCAGTTGGAAAAAAGCTGACCATTCATTCTGAGAAAAGCGATGGTGAGTATGAACACAATTTGAAAAGAAGGATGTTCCATATTAAGCTACATTGAATTCTAAACCCAGTTCAGGTAGTAACACTTTACTCTGGAATTGAAATTGTTTCCTTTTTTTTTTTTTAATTTATTTTTGTTTTTTTGAGACAGGGTCACACTCTGTCACCCAGGCTGGAGTGCAGTGGCACAATCAAGAGCTCATTGCAACCTTGACTTCCCGTTGACTTCCCGAGCTCCAGTGATCCTCCCACCGCAGCCTCCTCAGTAGCTAGGACTACAGGCACCCGCCACCACACCTGGCTAATTTTTGTATTTTTTTGTAGAGACAGCATTTCGCCATGTTGCCCAGGCTGGTCTCGAACTCCTGGGCTCAAGCGATCTGCCCACTTTGGCCCCCCAAAGTGCTAGGATTACAGGCATGAGCCACCAAGCCTGGCCTGTTTGGATTTTTTCAATGAGCTACATAATAACCATATGAGAGCTGACCTTTAAAAACAAGTATAGTAGAACAGATGCATCCAGCCATGTTTTAGAAATAGCACTAGTGTTTTGTTTTCTTGTTCAAAGCATGTGAATTGATTTCTGGTCTTGGAAAGCATTCTTTTGAAAATTGGTTAATGTGAGAAATCTCCCCCCAGATATAGGCTGGCTTCCTTTTCAAGTGCCAGTACCAGAGCCAGGAGTTAACTTTTACTATTAACACGTTTACACCAGTTGCGGAGAGTGTGGGAAACCACTTCTAGAAAGGTGGCAGGGTATGTGATAGAATGCAGAAATGAATAATTCCATTTGGCTGGAACATCACGGGGAGATGATTGACTGGGCAGCACATGCTGAATTGTATAGTGTATACTTTCATTGATTTATCCCATGTTTGAATTTGTTTATTTATTTGCTTGTTTCCAGCTGCTTGTCAGACATTGCTGTCTCTTCCTGTGGATTTTAATTTAGAAAATATATTAGGTAAATACTGTATTTGTTTAAACTTTTAATAACTTGAACCAAAGGTTTTGTTTGGCTGGCTTTTTGTAAATGGTAACATGGGAAATATGTGGCAGTGCCTCTTTCTAAAGAAGTGGGGAAACTGCCCTGAAATTTCTCTTTTTCTTGAACATGGTTTGAACTAGCCTTATTATCATAGTGAACTTTATTACTATAGACAGAAACTATAAACATTTTATTGATATTATACTAACAATGTAGCACTTAAAAACTAAGGAATAATTTAAGATGTAAAACATCAAATATGCAATTAAACTTTGCCCTCTTTTTGGGAAAAAATTCAAACATAGTGCATGCTGGCTTCTTAAAAGTTGAGTAACAGAAGTATAATTGCCCTTTAAAATGACTAGCTTTGCCTTTTCTCCTATTATTAAATATAGGTGACTATTTTAGAGCTGATGAATTTGCAGATCAATCTCCTGGAAACCTCAGTTCTTCATCCCTCAGAAGAAAGCTGTTTTTAGATGGGAACGGAAGCATCTCCGACTCCTTACCTTCGGCTTCTCCCGGAAGTCCTCACAGTGGTGTTCAAACATCACTAGAGATGTTTTATTCAATAGATTTGTCTCCTGTAAAGTGTAGGAGCCCCTTGCAGACACCAAGTTCGGTGAGAAGTATACTAAAAAGCAGTTGGCTAATATGCTGTCAAGCTTGAACCCACATTTTGTTGTTGTTCTATCTTAGGCTTTCAGCAGCCTGAAGCCATGGTTGCTTTCTGTCTCTAGTAAATAAGTGGAAAAGAGGGATGAGGAAGGGCCTTTACTGGCCTAACCAGAAACAGAAACTAAGAACTCATGACTGTATTCTCTCCCTTGGACACCCCTGTGAGCTGCCCAGATTGCTTTCAGAAGGAGGGATGGTTGTCTTTTGAGTATTATGCTTCACAGAAACTAACTCTAGTTCGTATGTTATCATTAGTCATAGGGATGTTTTAGGTCAGACTCTTCAATTTTGTATTTAGATATGTACAGGATGACCAGATTTATCATGAGTCTCAAGGAAATTCAGCATAGGTTATTTACTAAAGTGTGTGAGATTTACAGTATAATACAACTGGCTTGGCATTAATAAATTTAAAAATTTTTCACAGATGGTTGCTTAGTGTGAAACTTAATGGTTTGTTCAAATACAATGTGTTTATATTTTGACTAACATATTTGATACTATTTCAGAATTTTTGTAGCAATCTTCTTAGTTGTCTTTGTTGCAAGGTGTCTTTTGGTGGTTCTCGTGAACTATTACTAGTTTATAAGTGTGTTTTGAAGACCATGATAAATAGCATGCAGCATAAGAGTTAAGGAAGAGAACCATATACATTTATTTACTATTTAATTTTATTACAGGGGCAGTTTTCTTCTAGCCCTATTCAGGCTAGTGCAAAAAAATACAGCTTGGGAAGCATAACTAGTCCTTCGCCTATTTCTTCACCCACTTTCTCACCAATTGAATTTCAGATAGGAGAGACTCCACTCTCAGGTATGTCTCATAATAAAATACCTAGTTAAAAGTTTTATACTATCAATATTTGTTATTAGAGAGGTTCTTTTAATTTGTCTTAATGATAGAGCTCAAAATGATCACTAACCTTCTAACATTTAGGAACTTTGATTTTTAAATAAAAGAACAGTTTACCTTCAAAGGCTGGAATTCTCACCAGTTTGTACTGTAGTGTTAAATATAGTTACTTTAATTAGCAATATTTACATCAAACACTATCAAAGGAAATTTAGCAATTTCCATTTGTGCTATTGTTTTTGACATCACAATTTCACTTTGGTAAACAACACAACTGTTACAGAAATGCAGTTTTTCCTGGCATGAAACATGATTACCATTTAGTAGTGACTTTTCCATTTTCATGTTTTTATGATGTGATTTTTTTTCCCTTCCCACCTTTCAGAACAAAGGAAGTTTACTGTTCATTCTCCTGATGCTTCATCTGGAACAAATTCTAATGGGATAACTAATCCGTGTATCAGAAGTCCTTATATAGATGGCTGCTCGCCAATTAAAAATTGGTCTCCTATGAGACTTCAGATGTATAGTGGTGGTACTCAGTATCGGACCTCAGTGATTCAGATACCTTTTACTCTTGAGACTCAAGGTGAAGATGAGGAAGATAAAGAGAATATTCCTTCCACAGATGTCTCATCACCCGCCATGGATGCTGCTGGAATACACCTACGGCAGTTTAGTAATGAGGCTTCTACCCATGGTACACATTTGGTTGTGACTGCCATGTCTGTTACACAAAATCAGTCCAGTGCTTCTGAGAAAGAATTAGCACTGTTGCAGGATGTTGAAAGGGAGAAAGACAATAACACTGTGGATATGGTTGATCCTATAGAGATAGCAGATGAGACCACTTGGATTAAGGAGCCGGTTGATAATGGCAGTTTACCCATGACTGATTTTGTAAGTGGCATTGCCTTCAGTATTGAAAACTCTCATATGTGCATGTCACCTCTTGCTGAAAGCAGTGTCATTCCTTGTGAAAGCAGTAACATTCAGGTAAGGTATTTAATATTCTATAGCCCCTTCCTCACTGCCTTGGTGTTCTTTATCCTTTCTAAGATTATAGTATAAGAAAGATAATGGATTAAACATGAGGACTACAGTATTATATAATATTTTTTAAAAATATTAATACCAAGTGATATGAGAAGAGTAAATTTATTTTAATTATGACAGATAAGGCATATTTTATATTCACATTAACTGATATTTGTATGGAGTAGGAAAAGGTAAGAGCAGAAAAGAAATTAGCCTGCTCTAGAGAAATCAATCCTGCTAGAGTCAGGCAGGATTCATCACTGTTTCATGTGGATCCAGTCCCCCAAAACATGCAAGGTCTGGTATAGTATTTGCATTCTAAAAATAAAATCATTTTTGTTTTTCCTTTATGTGATTTAGGGGGGATAAAAAGAGTTTAGAGCACTGGTTTTTTTTTTGAGATGGGGTCTCACTCTGTCACCCAGGCTGGAGTGCAGTGGTGTGATCTTGGCTCAGTGCAACCTCCACCTTCTGGGTTCAAGCAATTCTCCTGCCTCAGCCTCCTGAGTAGCTGGGACTACAGGTGTGCGTCACCACACCTGGCTAATTTTTGTATTTTTGTAGAGATAGGATTTAGCTATGTTGGCCAGGCTGGTCTCGAACTCATGACCTCAGTTGATCCGCCCACCTCAGCCTCCCAAAGTGCTGGGATTATAGGCATGAGCCACCGCGCCTGGCCTTAGAGTTCTTTTATGTATGCATTTTTGTGCTTTTCTTTTAGAAACATGATTTATAGCAACATTTTTCATGAAATTATACATTTCCAATTTTGCAATGTCTCTGACAACAGGAAAACCTGATTCATTTAACAGATACGTATACTTCATAATTAGCACTTTGGAAAGGCATTTGTTCCATTCATTGTTGTGTTCTTTGAGCTGAGAATTTTGAAGGAACTTCTTTAGAAGTTCTGACTTTAGTCAGAAGGGGATAGCAATAACATCTAACACTAACGTAGCATTACTATGTGCCAAGTCCTATTCTGAGACCTTTACATGTTTTACTTTGTTGAATTTTTACAGCAATCCTGTGAGGTATGTGTACTGTTATCCCTGTTTTACAGATGAGGAAACTGAGGGTCAGAGAGGTTAAGTAAATTACCTAAAGTTTCTATACAACTAGTAAGTGGAAGAGCTGAGATTTGATCCCAGCAGTCTGGCTTTAGAGTCCATGTTCTTTAATCCAAAAGTTAATACTGACTTATAATAATAGCTAATACGCACATAGTGTTTTGATATACCAGGCACTCTTCTAACCACTTTATTAATTCATTTAATTCTCACACCAACTCTATAAGGCTTTAGTGTTGTCAGTTTTGGCATGCTGAAGTTAAAACTCAGGGAAGGATTCTAAATGACCCAAAATTAAATATAGTATTTTGCTCATATTTTTATGCTTCTGTTGCCTATCCTGACTTACAGCTTCATTGCTCAAAAAAGATTATACTAGAATCACTTTTACATATTTTAGCTTCTCTAAAGTTGGTTTCATAAATAGAAAAAAGCACATATAGGCTTAAAAGTATATGCCTTAAAGGCATTGTTTGCTGCTTTTACTCTCTGCCTTTTTTCACTTTCTCTCTCTCTCTCTCTCTCTCTCTCTCTCTTTTTTATATAGAGGAATTACAAAATACTTTTGTTGAAATACACCTTAATCATCATCTAATCCAACTAACCTTTGGAAGCCGTGGGTAGCATATTCTCCCATAATTGTAGTCACTACTAACTTGTCAAACTATCTATGCTTAATTACACTTGCAGGGCTATTCCATTCATTTTTTAACTTCTCTTACTATTACAACCTCTTCCTTCTATTGGGTAAAAATATGTTATGTGATACCCCCCAAGCAGTCTCAGTTTTACTCTCTGGGCCATAACATCATAATGTCTACTAAAAATGTTTCATACATTACATTTCTGCCACATGGTTAGCTTTCTGCTAGCTTTCTGAGGAAGAGTACATTTCTAAAGACATTGCATGTGTGATCATGTGTCCGTCTCTCACATTTGAGAGTTCAGAAATGTCCTTCAGAGTTTGAAGGCATTGCTTCCATTTCAGTGAGAGATCTGAAGCTATTTCAGTGCTTAATCTTTTGTTTATGATCTCTTTTTATCCCCAACTCCCTGGACATGGATAGGCATTTTTCTTTGTCTACAGGGTTCTGAAATTTCAGTGATGTCCTTTAATGCGGGTTTCTTTCCATCCATTATACTCTTCACTCAGAATGCCCTTACAGTCTGTAAACTTACTCCCCTCACTTCTTGGATCTTTTCTTGAATAATATCTTAGATTTCTCCTCTGCTGCTTCTAGTGTTCTCTCTGGAGCAACTTTTGATTCTCCAATTTCTAAAAATCTTTTTTTTTTTAAATCTCCTTTTTTGAATTTTTGGGCAATTTCCTCCAGTTTATATAATAACCTTTCTATTGAGTTTTTTATTTTCTACACTTTTGAAATGCGTTCGGTACTAATTTTAAAAGTCTGCAATGTGGCTGGCAAGGCTGGTCTTTCTACTCTCCAGCTTGTTTCCTTCATTCTCTGTTTAGGTCCCACTAGCTTTCCAAAGTTTTAAAAAGCCACGTTTTCTCTTGTTACAGGGCCTTTTTGCACATGCTATGTAGCATTTCTATCCCATTTTACTTAGTTAACTCCTATTTATTTTTTTCATTGACAACTTATTGATTACATCCTCAAGCCTTCCCAGATCACATTAGCCAGGCCAGACCTCATTATATGCTTTCATGATTCCATGCACATTTTGCATTCTTTCCAATCAGACCACTAATGCAGCAGTCATGCATGTTTTTATCCCCAGTGCTTATTAAAAAGAACCCGTCACGTAATAGCCGCTCATTAAATATTTGTGTAACAAAAACAGAACGAATACGTAGGTTAAGTTCAACCAGAGGGATGGTATTTACTGAGAGTAACGGGGAGCCAGGATTTGGAACTCTGAGGAAGAATTGAGAGGGATCAGGTAAAGGAAGTACAGCCCCTGAAGGAGACTGAAAAGAACCAGCCAAAGAGGAGAAAGGGACACTTAGAAAGCACAGTGTCATGAAGCATTTTAAGCAGGAAAGAATGGTTAGCATTGCCAAAATAGGAGCAAGCAACATTGGGCTTGAAAAGGGGCTAATGGACTAATAAGAAAAGTAATTAATAACTGAACAGCCTCAAGGTGAATGGAAGGAAGGTTAAAGAAGAAGTAATGAAATAACGTGTGTAGATAACTCTGGAGTTTAGTTGTGAAGGGAAAGAAAATGATACCTAGAGAAGAGCATCAAAGTCAGATCTTTTTGTAGTTTGCTTTTTTACTTTGTTTTTACTTAACCCATTTATGCCTAAGGTTGCAATTTTTTGAATTTTTGCAATCAGACCTTGGCGATGACCTTGAACAACAGGGTATAAGTAACTCCCACATGCTTAGTGTTCCAGTAATGGAACACAGAAGAAACAGCATACAGCATTTAAATGAAGAGAGAGAAGATTTTTAAAAACTAGGAGTTGGGCAGCATAATTATTAATATAATTATTAATAGGTATCAGTCACATGTCCTTTTCAAGTACCAGAGACCATGCCAAGCATTTTACAGTCAGAAGCTAATCCCTGTAATACCTTACAGATATAATAGATATCGTCATCTGTCAAATGGTGATCTGTTTTATAAATGAGGGAACTGAGGCATGCAAGAGGGGGTAGAATCTAGAACCCTGATAGGAGTAGCCGCAGTAACTCCTCCATGTTTAAAGGAGGGCAGGGTGCCAGGATGGGTGTGGGTGCAAATGTATTTAGTTGAGGCGCGAGCATGGCATTAAAGAACATGGGCTTGGGAAACCGTAATGGCAGATTTCAGTTTATAGCCCAGCTCTGTTAGCTTTATAAATCCCAGAAAGTGACAGTTTCTTTCAGCTTGTTTCCTCTTCTTTAAATGGGGATAATAATAGGATTACAGGATATTAGCATGATCATTGTGATTAATATAAGTAAACAGTGCCTGAACACTGTTGGTGGGAATATGAATTAGTACAGCTATTATGGAAGTTCCTCAAAAAACTAAAAATAGAACTACCATGTGATCCAGCAATCCCACTAGTAGGTATATATCCAAAGGAAAGGAAATCAGTATGTCAAAGAGATACCTGTACTCCAGTGTTTATTGCTGCACTATTCATAATAGCCAGAATATGGAATCACCCTAAGTGTCCACTAATAGATGAATGGATAAAGAAAATGTGGTATATATACACAATGGAATACTATTCAGCCATAAAAAATAATGAAGTCCTTACATTTGCAGCAACATGGATGAACTGGAGGACATTAAGTGAAATAAGCCAGGCACAGAAAGATAAATACCACATGTACTCCCTCATGTGGAAGCTAAAAAGGTTGATTTCATAGAAGAGTATAGAATAGTGGTAGGTAGTAGAGGATGGGAAGGGTAGGGGGAGCAGGGATAGGGAGAGGTTGGTTAATGGATACAAAAGTACAGCTCGATAGGAGTAATTCTAGTGTTCTATAGCTCTATACGGTGAGTGTAATTAACAATTTATCGTATATTTTCAAATAGCTTGAAGAGCAGATTTTGAAAGTTCCCAACGCAATGATAAATGTTTGAGTTAATGGATATGCTAATTACCCCAATTTGATCATTACATATTGTAAACATATCAAAATATCATGTACATCATAAATATGTGTAATTGTGTGTCAGTTTAAAATAATAATAAAAGCAAAAACATAAGTAGTAATGGAAGGCAAGGTCCTTTGAATGGTAACAAACAAGGGGGACTGAGAATGATGAGGGAAGGGCTAAAGTGCTGGGCCCAGATGTCAAGGAATGTTATCACAGGGCACAACTGTTGCCAATTGAAAGTTTTAAAAGACAATGACATCTGATTTATGTGGTAGAAAAATAAATTTAGTAACAAAGTGCATGTTAAATGACTGACATAGAGACACCATTTAAAGGCACCATGACCCAACTGGAATATAAAGTTTGCAATTAGAACCAAGTTTGAATTAGAGTTCTTTTATTTCCAGGCTGTGGGATCTTAAGGCAAGATTTACATAGCAGTGAATAGAACATGACTTTTTAATTTTTGTCCCCTCATCCTTCTTAGCTATAAAGTGAGATTGATGCCTGCCTTGATGCCTGTGGGGGATAACAAGGTATCTGTTGCCTGGTTGGTACATATTAGGCATTGACATTAGCAGAAGTCTAGATGAGAGACAGTGAAGTCAGCCACCATCTCAACTTGGCTCTCATCAATCCTGCTCTTCCCATAGTGTGGGACAAACTCCCCGCATGCCTTACTTCCTGCTGTACTAATGAGTAACTCTTCCCTCCATATATATCCAGTTACATATTAGTATTGCATTATAAGCCAGCTATTTGGCAGTGATGAATATTAGAAGGAAGAGCTATTGGCAGAATCTCTGGGAGCAATCTGACATTTATATTTTTGATCAAGTAGCTATTGAATGATAGCAGAACAAGGCTTTTCCCCAAAAATGTTACACATCACAAGGCTTTTGTTCTAATTGGAACATGACCTCTAGTAGTAAGCAGATATGTATCCAGCCTTGAAATCTGGGAACATTTTTTCAGGATTATTAAGTGATAAAGAGTGCCGTTTCTAGGCTAGTCTGTACCTTTGTGAGGGAAACAAAATGACAGTCAGCTTTTTCCTTCCCTCTGATCCTAACTTGCAGGGAGGGCTTAAATGCAAAATGATTCCCTTGTGGATTGCTTTCTTTGGTGCTCAGCATTATACAGGTAAATGGAGCGTTGTGCAGTGAACAGAACCTGGACTTAGGTCTCACATCTTCATCACCTCATCACTGGATGACATTGTGAAAGTTAAGCTTTTTAAGCCTTAATTTCCTTCTCTAGTAAAGTATTAGGGTTGTTGAAAGGAGAAAAAAATATTAAATATATAGAGATAGTGCCTGGCCTTTTTAGACACTCAATAAATGTTTCCAAGCTGGAAGTTCGCTAGAATCTTTCTTTTTTGCTCTTTTGCACTGAAACAGTGTATCTTAGGATGCTACAATTTTTATTAACATGAAAAGCTGAACTAACATCTAGAGCCATTATATATGTGGCATTATTGTGAACAACTAGGTGTAAATATAATATAATCCACTTTTTTAAAGGCAGCATGCCTCAAGCCATTTAGAGACAAGCCTGGAAAATGCGTTGGAAGGTGAAGTTAGTTGTAATACTCATTTTTGTCTACTAGGTACGATCACAAAATAACAGGAAAGCATTGTGTCAGTAGGCTGTTCACTGATTCTTAAGGAAGTTACAAGATATATTTCATTGGAAGGAATTGTAAAATGACTACAATAATCAGTACTATGCAGGACTACCTTTTATATTTGTGCATTACTTTTGAATTTTGTTCAACATGATCAATATTACATGTTAGGATCATTCAGATGTAGTGAATGAGAGTTTATAGTGGTTTACTTATTTAAATATTTGACTTTTAAGTTCCTCACAATATATTTTTTTCTTTTTTCTCCTGTCAGATGGATAGTGGCTATAATACGCAGAATTGTGGAAGCAATATTATGGATACAGTTGGGGCAGAAAGTTACTGCAAAGAAAGTGATGCACAAACATGTGAAGTTGAGAGTAAATCTCAAGCATTTAATATGAAGGTACGGAGAAAATATAGTGAAAGCTTAATATTGTTTAGATTAGAAATATAAAATAATTTTGATTATTAGACAATAGTACTATTGAGAAACTATATGAAATTTAAAACACTAAAAGGTAAGCCTGTTTTCTTAACATCCAATAACCTTTAAATATTTTGGTTACTCTGAATACACAAGTATCTTACATACTACAAAGTGTGCAAAGGTAGCGTGTATTTGATGAGGGCATTTACTGAACCTTCCAGGTGGTGGTTATATATTCATACTTGAAGAAACTCATCATAATTTCAGGCACTAGTCAGGACAGTCTTTAATTTTATGTGCCAATTTTTTTTGCATTTTATTTTTTTGTAGAGACAGGGCCTGCTGTGTTGCCCAGGCTGGTCTCAAACTCCTGGTGTCAAGCAGTCTTTCTGCCTCAGCCTCGCAAAGTGCTGCGCGATTACAGGCATGAGCCAACATGCCCAGCCTTGTATGCCGTTTCTTTTTTTTCTTTTTTTTTTTTTTTGAGACAGGGTCTTACTCTGTCACCCGGGCTGGAGTGCAGTCGTAGAATCAGATCACTACAGCCTTTAACTGCTGGGCTCAAGCAATCCTCCTGCCTCACCCTCCTGAGTAGCTAGAACTACAGGTGTGAACCACCTTGCCCTGCTGTTATATGCCAGTTTCTTATAAAATACTATAAATATCAGCAAATGTGCAACAAATGTTTAATAGGGAGGCCACCTTAGTTTTCCTTTCTGTTGTATGTAGTAGGAGCAAACTGCCTTTCTGTTGTATGTAGTATCAGAGCAGGTCTCTTCTAATATTAACCTGAACAAAATCCATCCTATTTCAGGATGCAGTTGTCTATCTAAACATAAGTAGAGATAAATGAAGGATTTTTTTAAATTTTATTATTTTATTTTTTTTGAGACAAGGTCTCATTCTGTCACCCAGGCTAGAGTGTAGTGGCACGACCACAGCTCACTGTAGCCTTCACCTCCCAGACTCAAGCAGTCTTACCACCTCAGCCTCCTGAGTAGCTAGGGCTACAGGCATGTGCCACCACACCCAGCTTTTTAAAATTTTTGGTAGAGACAGGGTCTCACTATGTTGCCAGGGCTAGTCCCAAACTCCTGGGCTCGTGCGATCCTCCCACCTTGGCCTCTCAAAGTGTTGGGATGCTTTTTGATGCAGAATATTGATTTATAAAATACTGTATCTTTACTGTCCCTTCAGAGTTCAGCTAAAGAAACGTGCTTTTAGGTTTTAAAAACAGTCCCGATAATTGCATCCTCCAGTGGTCCTACTTAAACTGAAAACAAGGTATTGTCTTCTTTTTCACAGCAAGACCACACAACACAGAGGTGTTGGATGAAAACAGCAAGCCCTTTTCAATGCAGCAGTCCATAGAATGCCTCTGTCAGAATCAAAGACTAAGCTTAAGAGTTCCTCGCATATATCGTTGTGCACAGGATCAACATGATGGTGACTGGGAAAAAATTACTTCAAGTAACATGCTTAGCTTTCCCTCCTTAATGTGAAAAATCAAGGGCTTACTGACATAGGAACAACAGAAATGCTCCTGGAACTTCAAGTTGCTGAATTATAAGTTTATTTTTTATCAATAAATATTTTTATACTTACATTGAGTGATGTGTTTAACAACAAATTGTGACAGAGCTGAGTGCTCCTATCTTACAGGGTCAATGAACTACTTATTAAGCCTTACTGGTAGCACTGAATTTAGCAGTTCTGAGAACATGTGAAACTATGTTAAAACTGAAGGCACTATATATTTTTACATAAAAGCTTGAACATACAGATGAATTATAACCTATGTGAAGAAATCTTAGATATAAAACTAACTTTTCAAAGATACAAAAGAAATTAAACAGGTTTCCTGAAATTTTAGTTCTTGGTCTGTTCACCTCTGTGGGGAAAATTCTTAGTTCCAGTGATAACTGTTCTAGTTACTACTTTTAAGTATGTAAATACTAGAAAGGTAGTACTAGTGACATCATCACGTGTATTGTTATCTATGGGGCAAATGTGTGGTGCCCAGAATAAAATATACCTCATGCCTAGGGTAGGGACATCCTTTCCAGCTCAAACGTGGGTAGGGATGTGGGAGAATAAGAATGTGGGAGAACCAAGAGAAAAAGTGGGGCTGGGAGAGTGGAGTTCCCGTAGGGCATAGGCCTGTGAAGTAACACTGGGGCAGATATGTATGTTATATACAACTATTTTTTTAAAAAACTTATATCCATGTTGGGAGTAGATGGGTATATAACAGTTTGGAAATACTATCTTTGGAGAATGTATTTTTGTATTTATAAATCAACTTTTAAAAACTGTCTCATTCAAAAGGGAATAAAGACCTGTGTTATCAATGTGTCATTTTCTTCTTTCCTCCATAACTGTACCTTGAAACCTTACTGCTGACCTGCAGAAAATGTGCCGCGTTATGTACCTGGCTCATCTTCAACACACTAACCATGAACACTAATAGCCATTAGGGGACATGGCTACAGATACTACATTGGAAAGTTGTCTTTAATCACACAGGTGTTAAACTCAATATAAATTTACCTAAAAACAATTGCTATACCTAAAAGGAGTTCTGGGTACTAAGGGTAGAAGCCTCACTGGCTACAGTTTTTTAATAGTACAAAAGTCAAGAAATAACACAATAGTGACTATAACCTGTATTCAAATCCCTACTCTGTCACTACTTGATCTGGGCTGATATGGTATGGCTCTGTGTCCTCACCCAAATCTAACCTTGAATTGTAGCAATCCCCACGTGTCAAGGGTGGGACCAGGTGGAGGTAACTGGATCATGGGGGCGGTTTCCTCCATGCTGTTCCTGTGATAGTGAGCCGGTCTCATGAGATCTGAAGGTTTTATAAGCGTCTGGCATTTCCACTGCTGGCAGTCATTTTCATCCTGCCGCCCTGTGAAAAAGGTGCCTGCTTCTCCTTTTTCTGCCATGATTGTGTAAGTGTCCTGAGGCCTCACCAGCAATGCGGAACTGAGTCCATTAAACCTCTTTCCTTTATAATAATTACCCAGTTTGGGGTATTTCTTCGTAGCAGTGTGAGAACAGACCATAAACCTCCATTTTCTCATCTGTTAAATGGAGATAACAGTCCTGGCTTAACAGGGCTTTTTGAGTTAAGTGATATATTCCACGTAACCTGCTTAGCATAAGAACTGGCACTAGAAACAGAACATTTTAGATTATGGAATAGAACTTAGGGGAAAATAGCAAAGTCTCTGATCATCTTGAACTACTCAATTGGGACTTATCCCTGAATTAAACCTTTCTAGTAGCTGAAGCACAAGAAAATAAACTTGGAAAGAAAAAACCTAAGGCCAGTCATGCACTGCCCTACTTCCCTTTCTTCTCTATTGCAGGTTAACTATGGCCTGTAGGCAGTTTTTCTTCTCTTTTTTTTTTTTTGAGACAGTCTTGTTCTGTCACCCAGGCTGGAGTGCAGTGGCGCGATCTTGGCTCACTGCAACCTCTGCCTCCCAGGTTCAAGCGATTCTCCTGCCTCAGCCTCCTGAGGTGGGATTAAAGGCACTTGCCACCACACCTGGCTAATTTTCTTTTCTTTTTTTTTTTTTTTTTTTGCGATGGAGTCTCACTCTCATCATCCAGGCTGAACTGCAGTGGTGCAATCTCGGCTCACTGCAACTTCCGCCTCCCAGGTTCAAGCGATTCTCCTGCCTCAGCCTCCCAAGTAGCTGGGATTACAGGCATCCGCCGTTACACCCAGCTAAGTTTTTGTATTTTTAGTAGAGACGGCGTTTTACCATGTTGGCCAGGCTGGTCTCAAACTCCTGACATCGAGTGATCCACCCGCCTCGTCCTCCCAAAATGCTAGGATTACAGGCATGAGCCACCGCACCTAGCCGGCAAACTTTTTTAAATGGTTGGCGGGGGTGGGGGAAATCAAATGAGTAATGTTTTGTGACACATCAAAATTATAATGATGTGCTGCATAACTTTTGGTCAACAATGGCCAAATATACGATGATGATCCCGTAAGATTACAATGGAGCTGAAAAATTCCTATTGCCTGGGGACACAGCCATGGTAACATCATAGTGAAATTACTTTATGTAGCCTAAGTATATAGTGTTTATAAAAGTCTACAGTAGTGCACAGTAATATCATGGCCTTCACATTCACTAACCACTTACTGACTCACCCAGAGCCAGCTTCCAGTCCTGCCAACTTGTTCATGGTAAATGTCCTAAATAGGTGTACCATTTTATATCTTATATATATCTATATATATATTTTTACTGTACCTTTTCTATGTTTAGATATGTTTAGATACACAAATACTTAGCACTGTGTTACAACCGCCTACAGTAATCAGTACAGTAATATGCCATACAGGTTTGTAGGTTAGGAGCAATAGGCTATCCCATATAGGATACCATAGGGTATACCATCTAGGTTTGTGTAACTACATCATGATTTTCACACAATGATGAAATTGCCAAGTGACATGTCTCAGAACATATCCCTGTCATTAAGTGACATATGACTATATATGAAACTTAACAAATCAGGCCTTGTTGAAACACAGTCATGTTGATTTGTTTACATATTGTATATGGCTCCTTACACACTATCAACGGCAGAGTTGTGTACTATAGTTGCAATACAGACCATAGCCAACAAAGTCTAAAATGTTCTAGCACTTCACAGAAAAGGTTTTTTGACTCCTACTCTACTGTTTCAGTGTCACTGACCCATTTTACCTGGACCAAAGACTACTCAAGTCTATTTTCCTCCAACTGACACAAGTTTCTGCCTCAGTGTATGGAGGTTTTCCTCAGTAATAGGAAACTGGAAAAATTAGTCAACATTTATTGAGTGCCTAAATGACTACCTATTTAGTATACCTGCTGATTTACTTGGCAGGCTTTTCTCACTATACTGCAAGCTCCTTGAAGGCAGAGATAATTTACTTGAGTGGAACCTGGCACAACGTAAGTGCTTTAGAAATTGAATAAGCCAAGTAAAATGTTTTAAGGCAACCCTATCCCAAAATATTCCTGAAGATATTAATTTAATCATTACTAATCTCTGTGATTAGCAAGGGAAGTAGTCAGTCTGGCACACCAAATTTTATTAATAATACTTATTTTAATCTGTTCCCTTTAGTATGTCTTTATACAGTTCCCCTCGTGTATATACACTGATATAACTACAATTTAAAAGCCACTAATTAATCTGTTTTTTATTTTGTAAGTAACAAGATATAGACATTTGAATGCCAATGTCTTATTCTGGAGAGACACTGGAGCTGAAGTTCAACAATGATCACACTTATTACCTGGCAATAAAAACACAACCATCTTTCCAGTCAGGTCAAAATATCCTACTTTTTGCCTTTCTACCAATTCCCAAACATTCACAGTTTTTCAAGGACCACTAATAAAATACAGGAAGCTTTTAAAGACAGTAAGAGAACACCTAGTGTAAGTTAGGTGAATTAAAGATGGCAAAGGAGATTACATCCTCAACACTGACAGCTTCCAAGACTTAGAAAAGAGATTGTTCCTTGCTTCTAAAATTGTTCTATTTTCCTCTGTAGGAAAATGAAAGTTTTTTCTTACAAATATTAAATAATCAAAGTACTTACGCAAAATTAATCTGCTCCTCAATGAGATGAGCACTCCATTTAAATGATCTTTACAGATCCCTGAAGTTGCTGTCCTGTCACTGTATTTAAGTGATGGATATTCAATTGAATTATTCTGCATAAATAATTCTGTTCAACCCAGAAGTATAGTAGTATGATGGGTCAGATACAGTCAACTGTTCAATAAAAATGCAGATGTCTGAAATTATTAAAATGTACTTAAAAGTAACAAACTGTATCACACACTTAGGCTTAGAAGTGTTCTTTCAAGTTTTTTCTTTTAAAAAAGAAACCAGTCTTTGAAGATTTTTGTTGAATATAGCTATTTTCCAAGCTTCATCTTCTTTTTCTTTGGTCCATTAAGGTCCATGTTTGAAGTATCAGTAGGAATGCTTATTCCTGGTATCTAAAGTAATGCAAATGGGGGGAAATAAGGTGATTTAAAGGATAGAATACATCTCAACCTCATCCTCCCCTTCCCCACTGCCAGCTTCAAATTTAAAAGGATGTAGTGGTAGGGAGGGGAAAGGGGGCTAATTAAAGGTTTTATACACAGAAGGTATTTTACAAAGTAGCAGTGGTTCAAAAATGTAAAAGCTAGACATGGTCTCAACAGGTGAGAAGCATGTCATTTAGGAAGTGTTCTTTTTAACTACAAAACAGCCTTCCCAATGGGGAGCCACTGTGATTGACAGAATCAGAGTTGATTTCAAGTGTGTTGGGGAAGGACAAAAGTTAAGAACCAGTATCTTAGGTGAAACACCTACACTTCATCTTCAAAATGCAGAGTTCAAAACTTCTAGATAGAAAAGACTAGGCAGGAGAATGGAAGACCTTTTTATTTTAGCACCAAAGACCTGAACAGAATCTCAGATGTCTAGAATCCCGTGGCCTAAAGAAATCAGTGAGAAAACAGGATTTGCTATGCAAATATTTGGTTTCTACACTACTTACAGGGTTCCCTCTAACATTAAACAGAAATAACTACGTCCCTTCTTTGACAAAATATGTACTGTTTGTTCCATCACAACAAGGAAATTTTAAGTTTGGCCTTACCTGTGGTTCTACCAGGGACATTCGGATCTTCTGATGTTGAAGATTAGATGAGTCTAACATGATTTTCACTTTAACTTTATCAAATACATGGAACACTGTATCTTCTATTTTAAGTGAGGGTATCTAAACAAAACACATTTTATCATTCTTAATTGCTTCCTTACATTTGAGGCTTTGTTCTAATCCTTTACAATTTATCTTACATAGTAGAAGTTTAAATATAAAAATTAGTAAGCATCTACGTGTTCAACATAACAAAGGCCACAAACCTAGTAGTCTCATATAAATATGACCTACTTATGTGCTTACTTTCTCCTTCATTAAGGTATTTCTAATATATATGTTCATTAAATTCTTGGTGATTAATTAATCACCCCACTAATAAATAGGAAATTTTTAGTCTAGTAGAGGAACACAAAGGTATTTTGGCCAGTTTATTGTTCAAATATTCTCTCAGGGCTGTGGTTCTCCTAAGGAGAATAGGGAGTATGTGTGTCAAATAAGAAACACTAGAAGTAAGTTTAAAAAAAAAGTTCCTTCCCCGAGTTATAAAGAGTCATTTATTGTTCCATGTAGGGCAAAACTTTACATGGTATAAAAGAAAGAAATCAAAGACAACAATTGCATATGAGAAGACATATAGTGGTGAGAAATTGTGAGTAAAACCATAGTTTAGTTGGCAAAATTAAATGTAGATTTTCTGGCATGTATTTGGAGATCAGGATAAATTCTTCAGGGTACAAAAAATAATTTTATGCTTTATAGGTACCATTTATGAACTCTCAAAGAAAAAGTGCCCCCCGGAAAAGAAAACAAACATGAGAAATACCGTACCTCATCATCATAAATAAGCTGTGGGTTTGGTTTGTCCTTTTCTTCAAAAAAGACTGTCCCTTCTAAACCATACTTTGGAATTAATACCACAATGGCATTCTTTCTTACAAATAAAATATAGGCTTCTTCACTTACTATTCCTTTGCTTTTGAAGAATAACTGTAAAATAACATACAACTTATTTAAATTGTCTTAAAAATTTTTAAATAAACAAAAAATTGAAATTAAATTAAAAATGAACAAAACTTCATTTTTTCTAGCAGTATCGACAAAAGGCAAATACCTGGGTATGAAAAGCCACTGATGCACGTTGGGCATATTGAGCCATTTTGTGCCGGAAATTTAGATTTTTACATATATCTGCAAGCTTGTGTTTGTCTGTCAACTCTGGATAAGTACAGTCAGCCCCAATAGCCACAGCCAAAAGCCGATGAACAATGACATCTGCGTATCTAGATAGATGGAAAAATAAGAACCATGGTATGTCAGTACTAATATGTGCTTTTAAAATTCAAAATTAACCATTTTCTATCTCCTTTAATTTCATAAGGAAAAAATACCTTCTAATGGGTGAAGTAAAATGTGTGTATATTGGAGACGCTAAGCCATAGTGATGAAAATCATTATCCATTCCAGAACAGAAGTACACAGCTTGCATCATACAGCGAGTGGCTAATATTCTCAACAGAGTGTTTAGATATGGAAAAGTAGGAGATTCGGCCTGATCCAAAGACTCAGCCAAAGACTTGGCTGTATCAGTCTTAATTTCCAAATTCTGTAAACAAAAAGGAGGGAAGAGCACCATATTAAACATTTCTAAGTCAGTACCATTATGTCTTCAAAATATAACTGATCTGACTGAACAAACATCATGTTTTTGTTATTTTCCTTCCCTTCAAAGTAGAAGTAGTAGCCAGAAACAAAACTGTACTGGTCACTACAGTTCTGTCAGAACAATGTTCGGATTCATCAAATTTAGCTGCTTTGTTCTACCCTAGGGAGATGAGTCAAATATACATCTCTTCTCTTAGGTCTTTGGAAGAAATAAGACAATGAAGGAAAAAATCCCTATTTACAGATTAAGGCTTGGAGCAGAGGAGTGAGAAGCTGATTCAATTCCTATGAATCTGGAGAAGCTGGGCATGCATGCCGTAAAGGTCTGATCCAAAATCAGAAACCAATGCCATCATGATCGAATAATGCCCTGCAGTCCAACATTACTGCTCCCAGCTCTCTTCTAGATGGGAAGGATAGGGCCTAACCAGGTAATCCAAGGAAAAGCAATGTAGGCCATAGTCACCCAAGGGGTAAGCACCCCTAAATGAAAATCTACTAACAAGAAGTAGTGGGTATACAGGGCTGAAAAAATGTGCCCTTTCTATAGTTTCCTCTTTTCCATGTATGCAATAAATATACTTTTCTTACGAACAAGAAATGGAAAGGATTTAACTGAGTTGAAGTAAATAAATAAAAAAAAAAAATACATTATTTGTAAAGTCAGGCAGTTGACAGGAGCCATGAAGCAACATAGACATATGAAACATGCATAAAGACAAGGAAACATGGAAGAGTTTTATATGACCAGGATGCTGCATAGATCTTAGTCTAAACATCCAGCTTTAGCATAGGGTGCTCTTTAAAAACATTAGGCTGGGTGCGGTGGCTCACACCTGTAATCCCAGCACAGCACTTTGGGAGGCCGAGATGAGATAATTACTTGAGTCCAGGAGTTTGAGACCAGCCTGGGCAACATAGTGAAAATCTACCTCTACCAAAAAAATACAAAAAATTAGCCACTCATGGTGGTGTGCGCCTGCAGTCCCAGCTCCTCAGGAGGCTGAGGCGGGAGGATGGCTTGAGACTGGGTGGGAGGTGGAGGGTGCAGTGAGCCGAGATCGTGCCACTGCACTCCAGTCTGGGTGACAGTGAGACCCTGTCTCAAAAAAAAAACCAAAAGAAAAAAGAACTATTGGCATATTCTTGTATTAACAAACAATAAAACCTTTATGGAAATATGAATATAAATTATTTAGAACAACAGGTAGATCAAAACACAAATAGATGATTTTTCAAACTGTAGGACCTTACCCTTGACCTGGCTGCCTTAACAAGAATTTCATAATTTGATGGAGGTGGAGCAGGATGTTTTCGAAGCAGAGCATGTTCAGAAAATTCCTCATGAATTTTTTTTGCAACAGAAATATTGGCAAGTAACATAAATTCTTCAACCATGGAATTTGTTTCCCTGCCAATGGAAAAAGCATTAAACAAACAAAAAAGAGAATCTGAGACTTCTATATATCATATTTTTTCACAGGTTACCTTTGTTACCAAGAAGATAATAAGAGCATTTCCTATGTAAACATTCATATGTGTGTGTACATTTGTATTTTAAATAACTTATGATTCTTTCATCTCTCAGTTACTCCGCTAACAATCTCTTATTATGCAACTACTGCATGAGTAAATCTTACATGCTAGAGGAAACTTTACAAATTGCACTCAGCCAGTTGCAGTGGCTCACACCTGTAATCCCAGCACTTTGGGAGGCCGAGGCAGGCAAATCATTTGAGCCCAGGAGTTCGAGGACCAGTCTGGCCAACATGACGAAACCCTGACTCTACTAAAAATATAAAAAAATTAGCCAGGTCTGGTGGCACACTCCTGTAGTCCCGGCTACTTGAGAGGCTGAGGCATGAGAATCACTTGAACCCGGGAGGTGGAGGTTGCAGTGAGCCGAGATCGCATCACTGCACTCCAGGCTGGGTGACAGAGCAAGACTCTGTGTCAAAAAACAACAACAAAATTGCACTCAAAAACAGAAGCTTTACTACTCTATTTATAAATGAAATGAAAACAAGCATTTTTACTTGATTTTACCAGGTCCAAAAATATTTTTATTTAATTGTAAATCAATAAAGTTTACAAGAACTAAAAGCTATTTAGATCATACAAATTTTGGCTTAAAAACCAAAATTTTTAACAATAAATTACTCAAATGAAGAGACCATATTTATAATAGCTAATTTGGATACTTACAATGGGTCAGTCATTGTGCTATAAGTACATCCTGCCCTCAACACACACACCCACAAACTCTGTTTTACAGATGAGAAAATTGAGGATATATTCATTATTCTCTTGCTCAAGGTGAGAGTTACTAGCAGTATGAGAATTTGAGTCCACACAATCTGACTTCAAAACTCTTAACCAATCTGATACTGCTGTGATTCTCTATATAGTTATTCACATACATTTTTCGGTTAGTTTAGTAAATGATCCACCTTCTGTTGATACAGTGCTTTCTGTCTTGCAAGTCAATGAACACATATTATTAACCTTCCATTTAAGTTTCATCTTGTAACTTCTTGACAATATTTCTAAAGTATATTCATTTTAAAAATATTAGAAAGACCTCCAATCACATGGGGACATCTCAGAAATGTGTTCTTTCTTCTTCTTGGTAAGAAGAAATGGCTGATATTTTACTTTGGCAAAGCTAGTGTCAACCTGTTGCTCATAAAAGCTCTTAGTACTGGGCTCATTATTAGCATTAATATTAAACATACTTACACAGAAGTTCTACTATAAGGGATTGTTAGATATTATAATAGCACGCAAGCACATATTTACTCTAAGTAAAAAATTTGAGTATATTCCCATTTTTAACCCTTGGTCATCTATTAGAAAAGTGCATATGCATGTTGAATTCCAAAATTACCTTAATGTAAATAAGAGGCAGGGAAAGAGGCCTAAACCCTGATTTAACAAAAAAATTCTTGTTTCCTACATCTTAACTAAATCAATAAACAACAATAGCTAATATCACCCTCACAGCACCCTATGAGGTAGGTGCCATTATCAATCATAGGCAATTTACAGACAAATAAATTGAGGCATGGAGAAGTCAAATAACTACTTTAGTGGGAAATATAATAGTAATAACAGCAGAGGGATCCAAACCTAGGGAGTCTGGCTTCATAACCCATGATCTTCACCATTATTCTACCCTACTATCTATCCTACTATCTATTATTCTATCCTACCCCCATCTTTCTGGCACCAGGGACGGGTTTCATGGAAAACAACTCTTCTATGCGACAAGGGGAGGGAGGGATGGTTTCATCAGGCATTAGATTATCATAAGAAGTGCACAACTTAGATCCCTCCTACACACAGTTCACAATAGGACTGGCGCTCCAATGGGAATCTAATGCTGCCACCGATCTGACAGAAGGCAGAGCTCAGGTAGTAAAGCTCACAGCCCAGGGGCTGGGAACCCCTGCACTACAGTATATTCTACTTTAGAAATTAATTGGGGTAATTTTTTTTATCTTACTCTAACTATTACTAGTCAAGTTCTAATACATCACACATCAAAGCAAACAAATTCAAATTGAAAGTTTTTCTATTATGCGACTAAACGCAGTTTTATAGAAGAAAAACTGAGCTTAAATTTACTTTTCTGTCCTTTGCAAGCCAAATAAAGTAGAAATCATGACCCTAATCATTATTTTGTATATAAACGTTTTCATTATTTGTACTTACAGTAGACATGACAATTAAAATAAAAAAATCTTATCTAATGCCCATCAAAAAAATTACAAACCTAAGTTCCTTGGTCTGCAGATCTATAGGATCGTGAGTTTCACTGTCCATGTGGAATCGAACTTCAGGAGAGGATAGAGTCAAAGCCCTACATAAAAATTAAAGAGAAAAATTATAGTCAAGCAAGCCAATAAAAGACAAAAGTATAGAAATTATTCTTTTAAAAAAGACAATGACTACAGCAAGTGTGTAATAGTTGCTCTTCTGAAGGCTTTATGACCATCTGCTGTTTCATGTTCTATTTTCATAAACAGCTCAGTAGAGCTTTCATGAACAGCTCAGTAGATTTAAAATGCATTTAACAAGAGAGGACGATAGCAACACAAGGAAATCTGAATCCCTGTGCTTCTGAGGGTTATATCTTCTGTACCCAAACGATGAGTTTTTATTGAGCTACACAGGTTTTTAATCACTTTTACAAATAAAGAAGGGGATTGATTGTATTTAATTTACTACAGAAAACAGTTATTGGGGCAGGGGACAATAAAGAGGGGCAAAAGGGGAAGCTGCTGTGGGTAGCTTAGTAACACCAGAAGATCCACAGTTCAAAAGTATCTTCCACAAAGACTGAACCAAAAGAGAAGCAACTGATAACCTAGTATCACTAATAGGTTACAAGTAGTGATGGCTATTAATATTTGATTGCTAAGTGTCAGATAAACAATCCATGCTCAGGACTTTACACACATGGTTCATTTAATGAGCTGGCAAGTTCCCCTTTGGAAAGTAAATTCCCACAAGGCAAGGCAAGTCTAATGTTTCTTACACCTTGACATAACTTTCATGAGGTCAGCTCCAAATCAACCTAAAACTAAAAATTTTAATGAGACTGGGCAACCTTGAACAATCATGGAGAAGGAAAAGAAGGGGAAGAGAAAAATTAAAATAAGATGGAGCAAGTTAAAAGAAACACTAAGTCTAAGTCCTTGTCTTCTTCAATTCCTCACCTTTATTAAAAGAACTATAGTAGGAACACATACTAAAAAGAGAATCTCAAAAATATTCCTTTCTTGCCTTGTAGTGTGCACTTAAAACAAGGCTCTACTTCAGGTCTGATATGTATTTATTAATGGATTTTGACATAAAAAGCAAGGTATACTTATCACATTTTGATCATTTTTCCTCATAGAACACCTAAAATGTTATGTCTACCCATGAGTATTAATACTTTAGAAGGCAAAAGACGGTTTTTTTTTCTGATTGCTTTTTCAATTCTCCCTAAGACTAAAATGATTCAATGATGTTTTCCCAGGAGGCAACCATCTACTTACCAAATTAAAAATACAGACTGCTGAAATTAAAAAATATCCTCAGTTTTAAAAAGCTATGTTACAAATGCGAATTCTTACTTTAAAACTATTAAAATAAATACAGCTTCAATTTGCATTTTATTTACATTGCTTAAAAAAAAAACTTTGTGGTGTTTTGTGTCACACAAAAAAATTCAATTATCTTCTTCTTATATACAAGTGACAAGCTTGAGTGAAAGTTTTGCTCAAGTTTAATAGTATCCACTGGGTTTTAGCATGCCCAAATGATCCTTTCTGTTTCAAGTTTCATATTTAAGATCACATAAAAAATTCCCTGAAAACTGAGGTGTTAGTAGACATAGGTACATAACTACCTCAAACACTGTCCAACAGAACGTTCTGCAGTGATGGAAATGTTCTATGTGTGCCCTGTCCAATGTGATAGTCATTAGTCACATGTGGCTATTGAGCACTTGAAATATGGCTAGTAAGGCTGAGGAACTAAGTTGTTAATTTTATTAATTTTAATGAATTTAAATAGGCGCATCTTATGAAATGACACAAATGTACAATCCGCACTCACCACACCTTTAGTAACTGCTTGTGACCCTATCCTAGAGGGGCTTGGGAACTCTGAGACCAACATCTGGAAGGTTCATGTACTTGGTTTCCTCTGATAGTCAACAACGTCTTTTAAGAGTCAAATTTCTCTTAACTGGTTTCCTTCAACATGCCTGAGTTAATACTCTATACCTTACGCCTTTTGTAGTTAGGCAAAAGCCATGACATAACAGCTAAAAGACTCAGATCTGTTACTAGTCAGATCTTTGGGAAGACTCCTTTTATGCAACTTTTAATTGCCTAAAAAATGAGGAGGTTGAATTAAATAATCTCCAAAATTTAAAGTGCAAGGAGGACCTAATCTACGTTTATTTAAACCTCTGAAACCTAATGTCCAATCTGGAAACTCATTTCTAATTAAAATTAGAAACAATTTCCAGAAATCTTAGGGTGTTCTTGCCTTCCTGGAATTTCTTCAAGATCTTTAACTCAAACACAATTTTTTAACACAACAAATTACAAGGATGGAACTCCTGAACAAACATCAGTCCAGAATCAAGTTGCTAACATTTAAAAGGAAGCTAGAGGCTGGGCATGGTGGCTCACACCTGTAATCCCAACACTTTGGGAGGCCGAGGCGGCTGGATCACCTGAGGTCAGGAGTTCAAGACCAGCCTGGCCAACAAGGTGAAACTCCATATCTACTAAAAATACAAAAATTAGCTGGGCGTGGTGGTGGGCACCTGTAATCCCAGCTACTTGAACGACAGGAGAATTGTTCGAATTCGGGAGGCAGAGGTTACAGTCAGCCGAGATTGTGCCATTGCACTCCAGCGTGGGTGACAGAGTAAAACTCCGTTTCAAATACATACATACATACATAAATGGAAGCTAGAAGAAACAGGAGTCTCTATTCACCCTTTTAAATAATTCATCATTGCCTATGATCAAACAATGTAAAGAGTATAAAAATTATCTTAATACTATGAAAAACAAAATATACCCTTTTTCAATCCTTCTTTTCTTCAGAATTTTGGCTAGTTTATTCAGTCCACGGAGACTAGTGGTAATATCATCATTCATGTTTGCTGAATCAATTCTCAACTGAGCTTCAGCATACGTCAGAGATGCCTAAAAAAGAAAATGTATGTTATATAATTCTTATAAATGATAGAAAAATGGTTTTCAATATGTCCTCCTACTTTCACTACATAAAATCCATGATTTCAGAAAACCTAAAATCAGTAACAAAATAGAAATTCTTAGCTATGATATTATACTTCACATCTATGATTTCTGGTTCATTAATTCTTATCTGAGGCATTATACAACATAAACAAACATATTTTAAAAGGTAAAATGGCAATGTTGTTAGCAAATAAACTTTAAACTTTACTTGTATATTCCAATTACTGTATAAATACCCAGATAATGCTAAAATAAAACACAAAGGTAGGTTAGATCGATTCCTTCTCTGATAACAAATATGAAATCCTTTCCAGATGATCATTATTCCCCTGCAAATAATTAAGACTGCAGGAGTCGAGACACCATGTTTTGCAGGAAATCCAGTAAATACCCAAAATTAAGCATGTAAAAACCAGACAAATGATAGTAGAAAAGAGTTAAAGTAATCCCCAATGAAAAATAACCAAAATATACAAATAACTACTTCTGTTCCTATTTCTCTCAGAGAAATCCATCATTTTTTTTCCTTTTTTTTTTTTTTGTTTGTCTAAGGAGTAGCTTCACAAGTGAAAATAAGAAAGAGCATAACAGAGTTAGATAACGCAGGTCAGGTCGGATTCCTGGGAGAGCCAACTCATCTACTAAAGGCTAAGAGTTTCCCCTCTGAAAAAGGTTTTATGTTATATATTCACTAGGTTTGTTTTCATATAATTTTGTTATACTGACCAAGTCTTAAAGAATTAAAAGTCATTCTTATTTTAAAGTACAAACTGTGATGGCTTAAATAATTCACACATCATTATTTACCAGTCTAACACTGTTTTCTTTGCAACCACTGGTTAGCAGAACAGCAAGAAGGATGCCAAAGGGCCAGAAAAAACAGGTTAAGCTTGGAAAACAGATCATTAGAAGATAAGGGGTTTGGCAAATCTTGAAGAAAGATGTAGGGCAAAATAAGAGAGAACATAAGGGATTTTTGGGAGAAGTACAAAGAAACAGGAAAAGGACAAGAAAGATAACCTGGCTCCATTATGAATAAACATGATCTCAGGCTAGTTCTACTAAAATCCAATGGTGACTTAAACATCATTTCTGTGAGAAAATGTGAAGAAAGAAGTGGTGTACCTGCTGACTTTTAAAACACTAACCATTTATAAGTAGGAACAGCTTCAATTACTAGGGTTCTTGAGTTAGGGCATAAAACCACTAGTTGGTCTTTTCAAGTATATATTCTTTGTAAGTTTCTGAATACAGGACAACTGCAACATGAACTAATTTCTGAATCACATCAAAAATTATCTGCTTATAATTGGAAAAAAAAAACCCTCAAAATTTTGCTATAACAGTGCCCCCATTCTATCCTGAGGGCACAGACCTAGCCCTTGTTTTTCTGCCTAGAAAGACTCTTCCCCTCCCACCCAAACTGAAATACATTTGTCTGTATCCACTTTACATGTTCAAAAGAGCATCTAGCTTGACTGAAAAATTCTCAAGAAGTGGGCAGGAATCTCAAATTTAGGTGATGGCAGTAGGGCTGGGGCTGGTTACTTTGGCTTGGTACTAGCTGGGTCAAGAAAGCTGGCAATAAGACTCTGGTGGCCTGTTCTGCATTCTTCTCTGAGAGTAGGTAGCAAAAGGGCCAAATGAGTTTTAGTGTAAATTTAAGTGCATCTGTACATGTTTAAGCACGTGCCCGCAGCTGGGGACTTTTTTAGACTATGTTTATATCTCAGGTACTTACATGTATATGTTTTTTCTATTTTAGGTTAAGTAAATATACATATAATTATACATAACATCTCTTTTCAAATATATAAATATTTTTATATATGTGTATATATACGTACATGTGAATCTTTAAAAAATTTATTTAGCTTTTTTCAAAAAAGTACCAAAAAGTTTAAAAATTAGAGATTAATAGCCATGAAACGAACCTTTGAATTAATAACACTTTTGGTAAACTTCGTTTTTAAGATTTCAGCATTGTGATTCATTTCCCAAATACATGAAAATGCCAGCCTGTGAAGGAAAATACAGAGTATTTGTTAATGGGAATCAGGTTAAAGTAGTAAATACAATGTCTTCAAGGAAAAAAAACCATGCAGAAATACCTGTCCACGTCACATTTTAAGGAACACAAGTTAGAGCTAAGCAACTCTGGAACCATGTCAATCCTCTGCAAAAGATAAAAATAGAACCACAGATTACTTAGCCATAACCATACATTTATGTGAGGTTCTATTCTCAAATAACATTAATTAAACAAGGAAAGAAAAGAGTGTTCTGCTTTTTGTAAATAGGAGAATTGAGAAAAGGTCAAATAAAAGGTTTGTTTCTATAAAAGCACTTATACAAAATTGTTAAAGAAGGAAAGCTATGAAGGAAAACTGGACTTCATGCCAATTAATCTAAGTTTAAGCCCTCTACACTAACGACCTAGCTGTCCTCTGAAAGTTTTAAATCTCTGGTCTGTATAAGTTTATACTTGATACCTGACACACTCTATGACTGGACCTTTCTCCAATGCTTAATATAAACTACAAGGTGTTTTTAAAATACTAAAAAAAGAAAAGAGAAACTAAATTTTTATGGAAAAAAGTATACAGAAGAACTCTGACAATAAATCACTAATAGACTAAGTTTAATCTTCCCCTTGACTTTCACAATACTTTACTTGTTATTTGAACCACTCGATAACAAAAATTTGCAATATATTTAGTGATTTAAAGCCACATTATTCCATGTATTTTTCTTAGCTAATTCATGGCCGTTTAAGAATCCTTAAGTGTCCATGACTGTTAAATTTTTAAATTCAATACATTTACCTTTTCACAAAGATACACAGTTGTTCCTCTTCTGGCTGATTCTTGATCCAAGGCATTTCCTGGCCTAATAAAATGGCTCACATCAGCAATATGAACACCAACCTTAAAAAGATAAAAATAAAAGGATGTCAATATGCTTGACTGGGTAAATGTACCTAATGGAGTTTTAATAAGATAAAGTTTAGCTAAATTTAAAAAAGACTCAGTCACCTCTACCATTTCAACTTCTGACATATGGCCAATAGCGTGCAGCTACAATTATACTTCACAAGAGTAATTAACAAGCAAATTCTATTCTAGTTCAAAAGAAAATGAACTCAGAACAGAACTATATTTAGGTAAGAACACTATTACATATGAATACCTCCAAATTTCCATTTTCGAGTTCTCGACAATGTAGAGCATCGTCTATATCAGTACATCCTGGTGGGTCTACACTACAAATACACAGATGCCTCAGGTCTTCTCGGTTTTTCATGTCCTAGAAGACATGAAATGATAAACAAATAAATTATTTCCAAAGCACAACTACAACATATTAATAGCTCTTGTGAAATCAGTAATATGTATACAAAAACAATTTAGCTGTATTTTCTTGATGACAACCACATTTCTTTTTCCTGCACTGGAGCAGAGAGACACCACGTATGATTTGTAACTAATGGTTTCCTTCCCTTTGAAACATTTAACATATGAAAGTGTCTGCCACATAGAAAAACTTACCCTTCAATGAAGAAGCAAATGACTTCTTCTATAATTCCTAAGAATGCTATACCCAACAAAATGCAGGAAAAGAGGGCCCGTGGTGTCTACATATTTAAAAACACATATAGAAATTAAACAAAACTAGGCAGGATATAATAATTTATAAAGTCACTACAAATTACTTTCAACTTACCTTTTCAGTAATGCTCCAGGGCATCTTTGGCAGAAAACTAAGAACAGCCTGTGAAAAAGGCTGATGGGGAACATCGTGTTCAAGTAACAAAACTTCTGTTTCAGTCTCTTTCTCTCCAACATCACCTAAATTTCTCACAAAGTGTCCCTGAAACCAAGAGGCATTATTAGAAACGCCTATTTTATAGCAAATTTACATCTTATCATATTAAATTCTTCAGCATTTACATATCTTCTCAGTATTCCTAAATATTCCCATAACGATTTCTGAAAAATGACCCTTTAGTAAATTAGACAAGACTTCTCAACTGATTTATGATGGAAACTTTGTAAGGGTCCAGCTCTTACATTCTAAAGCATCTATTTCTTATTAATGTTCAAGTTTAAAATGTGCTTCCAATATAATCTTTTCAAAATTTGTTGATTAGAATCTATATAGAACTCACTTTTCATAGTCATGATCAATAAAACTTATAGGTTTAAAAACTTACATAAAAGAGGCCAGGCACATTGGCTCATGCCTGTAATCTCAGCATTTTGGGAGGCTGAGGTGGGTGGATCACTTGAGGCCAGTTCAAGACCAGCCTGGCCAACACAGCGAAACCCTATGTCTACTAAAAATTAGCTGGGCACGGTAGTGCACGCCTGTAGTCCCAGCTAATCGGGAGGCTGAGACACAAGAATCGCTTGAACCTGGGAGGCTGAGGGTGCAGTGGGCCGAAATCACAGAACTGCACTCCAGCCGGGGCAACAGGGTGAGACTCTCTCTCAAAAAGAAGAAATTTACATAAAAGTAACCAAATGATTTACACTGGAATTTCATAAAATTAATTTTCAAAGTAGACATGCTACTTACCAGGTCACTTTGTGAAATATCTCTAAATTTCAGTACAAATTCTACATAAAAGTAGATTGTTTTTATTAAAAGCAGAAATACTATTCACAAAATTTTAATTAAACATCCCCACATAAAATTAATACTTTAAGCTTACATTTGGATATCTGGAATTTCTGGGCCAACCATCAATAGCAACAATAATTCTCCGTCCTTCTAATGTGGAAGCCTGTCTGGTTTCTATGCGAATTCGAGGGATTCTCTTATCAGCAGGTGTAAAGAGATGTCTTCTTGACTAGCAAAAATTAGGAATAAAGATTTTACACAAAAAAAATCTGAGGATGGAGGCAAAAGAAAGGCTATAAGTTCTATTAAATGTTTATCATTTTTTTATTACATAGTAAATGCTCTTTACTCACCTCCTTAATGTCAGACTTGGAAAGCATGCCACAATATGGTCTCCAATTCCTTTTTATTATTCCTACAACTCTACCTGTAGGCTTCAACATTTTCTCGCTTACAGCAGTCTTAAGCTGAGATATAAAAATTAAAATGTTCAGTTATATTCCTCTAAGTATTATCAGGCAATTTCCTTTCAAAATCAAAATGCATACATGGATACTAATCCATTCAGGCAGTAAATTATGACATAAGACTACAGAATGTTGATGTTTCAACATTCTAGACAAGAACATGCATGCCAAACCAAACCACAGACATTCTCTCTTGATAATAAAGTACTACAAAACAATCAAAAAGCAAAAACAAATAAATAAATATAACTGAATACGTATGTTAGAACTCAACACTTTTCAGGATTAACATGAGGATTTACTGACTAAAATACACACACAGGTCTGGGAATTAGATTAGGGTTTTAGTACTAGTTTGTACAAATTAGCTATGTGGTATGGTGACTAGTTCCCTTTGGACCTTTATTTATTAATTCTAAAGGTTCTTCCTTATAAAAAATAAAAACCCAAATAAAGAGGGTCTGCTATTAGAAATTACAAAAGTTCCTATGGTATTTCACCTCTTAACACTATCCAAAGGCCTGGACTCTCCATGGATAATTTTATAGTGAGACTCCAGAGCAATGAATATAAATGATGGAAAAAGAAGAATAAAAAACTGTTACATGCATTCCAACTATTTATAATATTGTAATTATAAAATACAGAAATAGGCCATATCAAGTAGACTTAGCGCATATCATAAGAAATAACTGAAAGTATTCTCTTCATAATAAATATGGTATCAGATAAGTTGCCCAAATATAATGGCCCAGAATTACGTCTATTATGTTAAGGGAATTTTACCTAAAGCATTTTCTAAAACATTTCCTAAAACATTACTTAAAGCATTTCAGAAAATGTTAAACACATATTTACTTAAATCTCACTAAGTCTAATAATATACTTGACTGTCACAGATTTTCAGTTTCATACTTGTATTAACTCATACTAACAGTCTGTTTGCATTTAAACCCATTTATTTGAGCAAATTAAGACAATAAAAGAAAACTACATAGAAGAGAAAAAAACCATGTGTATGACATGCGTTAAATATACAGAACTATGATTTTATGCAATAAATCTGAAAGCAATGAAACTTGTTTTCCAAAGCTGACATATTAATAATACAAAGCTACACAGACAAAAAAAAATCCTGCTTAGATTCATACCATTCGTTCTGTCTCTTCTTCTTTCTCCACATCTTCTTCATTTTGACCTTCATCATGTAAAACCACAGAAGATGGTGCTACCCACTGACTCTTGGGGAGAAGCTCCACAGCCACAATATCTTCGTGAACAGCTCTGTTTAAATGTTTAAGTCCCTGTAAGATTATCTGTTTAAAACAACAGAGGGCACGTGCCCAAATTATTTTTAATGGCAATATAATAAAGGGAAGATCATCTAACAGATATTTACATACACTCTGAATATCTCTATGGAATCTCTATTTCTCCTTTATAGATTTTCTTTCTCTATTGTGTCCCTAATTCCACAACTTTAATTTCTCAATACCAGGTAGAAAAAATGTAAGTCAGAAAACACAGGCTGTGTTCATGGCTCCATCATAACTTACACTGGTAACAAGAGACTTTGGAAAAATTATTTATGCTCTCTAAATCTCAAGTCCTGATTGGTCAAATAAGAGTACACTACCTAGTTTTTATAGGTTGGGTTGAATATTAAATGAAATGCCATGCGCAAAGATTTAAAAAACTACCTGACAAATTGTGAGCACTGCAAAAAAAAAAAGAAAAAAGTTACTATTTGCTTTAAAGTATGTGAAGCCTCATATGTTACACAAATAGTATTTACCATTAAGTGTTCATAATATATAAAATATCATCTTTATTTTAGTGTATAAGGAATTTATTTATATACTTGCCTCTTTATTTTCTTCATTGTCGCCATGAATCCATACTGTAGCTTCCAAGTAATTTTCCCTGCTAGCTCTAAATGTTCCTTGAAGGTATGTACCAGATTTTATGCCTTGCTGTAGCTTACTTAAGGGAAGATGCTCTGAAAATATTATTTTTCCACTTTCTATTTCATTCTATGAAAGAAGCAAACCAAAAGATGCCGCTAATAAGTCTTCTGTTCACTCAATACACAACTATTATTAATATCAGAGAATTTTTGAAATCTACATTATGATATACACAACTCTGAATAGGAGAGAAGATAGCAGTGTTTCTTATAGGCCAGTGCTAACAAAAACAGCTTTCTATGATGAAGGAAGTATTCATTTTGCGATCTCTAATATGGTAGCCACTAGACACAAGTTTCTCTTGGGCACTTGAAAGACAGATAGTACCACCAAGAAACTGAATTTTTAATACATATTAAATTTAAATAGTCATATATAACTAAGTGGCTACATATTAGGGCAATACTAAATCTGTATTTCAAAAATCAAACCCAACTTTTATCTTCTCATTTCCTTTTGGTTTCATAAAGTATCATAAAGGTAAGAAGGGATGACAGAAGTGTAAAGACTGGATTTATGTATAATGTCCTATCACTTAAAACCTATTTCTATAACAAGGGCTACCATTTATATTTACCATACCTATGTGCCAGGCACTAGGATGAAAATTGTATTAATGCTACAGTTATCATCTTATTTGATCCTTATAACAACACTATGAAGTTATTATTGCTAAACATTATATATTTATATATAAGAAAATGAATGCTCAGAATTTAATTATTCCCTTAGCACTCCTTCTCACATCAGCTATTGTAATGACTCCTTTACTCACCTCTCTGCCTCTAATCTTTCCTGGATAAAATGCTTAATGTTACACACTGACATGAGAGTGGTCTTACAAACAAATACCATTTCCAATCATTCTCTCCTGCTCCACCAATCCACATTCATATACCATTACTTTTTCTTAGCCTGACATATAAGGAAGGGATCTCAGAATCCTTTCCTCTTCATAGCAGCCCTTCAGGGAGATCTTTATAAATCAATTGAAAAATTACTAACCTACAGAATAAGTTCTAGGTCTTTACTATCTGGACACTCCCCTCCCTCTTCTTTCCTCTGTCTGCAGTGCCTGCCACTTCATTTGTCAGCAGCTACTCTTTATTCACAAATCAGCCATGGACTCCGTTCATTTTTTCCTCAACCAAACAGTGCTACCAGGTACCAGGCCCTACTCAGGTTAATGGGAATATATCTATTTTAGAAAGTTAACTCCTTTAGGAATGGCATTTCAATAAGCCTATGACATCCACTCCTGTTTATAACACAACTATTCCAAATCCAGCTTACCCACCGACATTCCAATTTTTAAATTTGGTAACTATATGCCTAATATTCCAAAGTGGCTATTTTAATATTTTTACTTTTCAAAAACAAAACAAAAACATACCCCTTCTTCAGACAAACAAGCAAGACGATCTATGAGTTCGGGGTTAGCAGTTAGGCTCTTTACATATTCTTCACCTGAAAAAATAAGTTTATGTTGTTTTTGATAAGTGTTTTTTCCTTAGATATGAAAAAAATGGATAGTCTTGTTTGCGACAGTATACACGTCATTCTTTCATTCATTGAGACACACTGAGAGTCTCACTCTGTCTCTCAGGCTGGAGTGCAGCGGCGCAATTACACATCACTACAGCCTAGAATCCCTGGGCTCAAGCTACCTTCCTGCCTTAGCCTCCCGAGTAGCTGGGACTATAGTTACATACTACCATGCACGGCTTTTTTTTTTTTTCCTGTAGAGCTATAGTCTCCCTATGTTGCCCAGGCTGGTCCTGAACTCCTGGTCTCAAGCAAGCCTCTTGCCCTGACCTCCCAAAGTGCTGGGATTACAGCACCTGGCCTCAATTTATTTAAAAAACAAAACCCAAAAATCTGTTGATGTGATCATACCTAAGCAGAAGCAGGGGTTCCAGTATATTTATGAGATTTCATTGCTAAACCAGTTGCAAATAGTGAGGGGAAAATTAACAGCCACTGGGCACAACATATTTAGGTTAAAAACTATGTGAAATTTAAAAATACAAAAATATCACATGAAGTTATATAGGACTACGAAAATACTAAATAGTAAAGTGAACATCTGACTATAGGCCTAATGATTATTTTTACACGCATTTGCAAACATGCACTAAGTACTTCTACATTTAGACTTACAAGTGAAAGCTGGTATTCCTTCTTCTATGGCTTTCTCTTTGTTTCTCCTGTCATTTGTTATGAAGATAACTTGCAGCTGGTTGTCTGCTGACATTTTTTTCAAATGTTCATTGTACCATTTTGCTGCTACTCGAATCGCTCTATCATTCCTGTCATTAGCATTTTCTCCCTGTTCTTGTTCTACATAGGTTTCTCTAAATGGAAAGAAAAAACGAAATAAAAGGAAATCAGTAGAAACAAGGATATGTGAAAACTCTTAGCACATAAATGCTTAACCACTAAACTAGAAAAAGTCAATGGTATATCTTTTCTCTTGAATGTATTCAGATGTACACCTCAGAGAAGAAATCAAGATTCTTATAATTAAGTTTTTAAGAAACAATTTGCTTGGAAAAGAAGAAAATTATGTTATTAAGGGGACAAGAAAAAGGCTAATACAATTTTATTTCCTAAAAAGAAAAATTCAAGATCAGAATTTATACTTTAGGTTGAGACACTAAATAATAGTTTGTTGACAAATTATAATACAATTTCACAGGTATGATAATCAGATTTCATTCAAACTGTAGGTTAATAGCAATTCCTAAAAGCTACAAATAGTATAATTAGATCATTTATAATCAGAATTCTACAGTCATTAATAAATAATGCATATAAATTATCCATGGTAAACACTAATAGCTGAAGCTATGTAGAGACTGAAAAGTCAGGTATATTAATAGATATTACGTATTTCTTCTATCTAAACTCCCAAGTATGTCAACACATTCATCTATTTCTTTAAATCTGTTCATCAAAGCCAGGTTTAAGTACAACAGCAAAGTTCACTACAATAGCTTCCAGTACTTAATGGTAATAGATTCAATTTAATAATTTGATTTATATTAATAGTTTTAGAATTATTTTATTCCTCATCGTTGAATGCACTTGCTAATGCTTTTTTTTTTTTTTTGAAACAGAGTCTTGCTCTGTAGCTCAGGCTGGAGTGCAGTGGCATGATCTCAGCTTACTGCAACCTCTACCTCCGGGTTCAAGTGATCCTCCCAACTCAGCCTCGCAAGTAGCTGGGACTAGAGGCATGTACCACCATAACCAGCTAATTTTTGTATTTTTAAGAGACAGGGATTTTCCAGGTTGGCTAAGCTGGTCTGGAACTCCTGGCCTCAAGTGATCTGCCCACCTCAACCTCCCAAAGTGCCAGGATTACAGACATAAGCCACCACGCCCAGCTGCTAATGTTTTAAGCTCATCAGTGAAAGACACAGTCATAAATTTTTGAATTGGTTTTAAACTTGGGTCTTTCTGCACTGAAAAACAAGTGATGTTGCTATTTCTGGATTTCAAGGAGGTACTAACAATAAGAAGCCTACAAGGGCTTTACTGGTATTCTTTACAAGAACATTGAAGTTTGAGATATAAGAATCAAGAAAGTTGAGATATTAAGGTTTTTAAAAATGTGCATAATCTGATGGAATTTCATTACCAGAAGTCTACACTCTAATCCAATGGTTCTCAATTGAGTGAATTCACCCCTCAGGGCATTTTGTATCATTACAACTGAGTGGTGGTGGTGGTGGTGGTGGTGGGGGGGGTAAGGGGTGGTGATCCTGCCAAATAGGCTAGGAACACTGTTAAACATACTACAATGTATAAAACAGCCTTTCCACCACAAAAAAATTATTCAGTTCAAAATATCTATAATGCCAAGATTGAGAAGCCCTGATCTAATCCAATAAAAGTACCATACTCATCATAGATTATTTATGTAATATAACGTAATAGGCAATATCATATTTTTGAGACCACACACTGAGTTCAAAGGTCTTGAATCTAAAAGCACAACAAAGAATTATATTCCTGGCCAGGCACGGTAGCTCATGCCTGTAATCCCACCACTTTGAGAGGCTGAGGCAGGTGGATCACGAGGTCAGGAATTCGAGACCAGCCTGACCAACATGGTGAAACCCTGTCTCTACTAAAAATACAAAAATTAGCCTGGCATAGTGGTGCGTGACTGTAATCCCAGCTACTCAGGAGGCTGAGGCAGAAGAATCGCTTGAACTTGGGAGGTGGAGGTTGCAGTGAGCAGAGATCACACCACTGCACTCCAGCCTGGGTGACAGAGTGAGACTCCATCTCAAAAAAAAAAAAAAAAAAAAAAAAAGAATTCTATTCCTTAACCTAATCTTGCTCAATGTAATCAGCTGCAAAGTATTAAACTTTTAAAAAGACCATTAAGAATAAATCTACTTTCTATTTTTAAACAAAATAGAAACTTCACAAACTCATATATTTTATTACCCTCTGTTAGTTGTTCACATAATATGGTATTCCAGGAACTTAAGCAAATCTCATCTTCCAAGATTCTATGGTCCAACTCATGCTAAAACCAATTCAAAATGAAAACATTTTGGAAATTAAAGTACCTATTGTAGTCTAGGAGTCAGCAGACCTTGGTTTTAGGCTTGAGCCCATCAATGCCTGTGTGACCTTAGAGAGATCCACTTAGCATTATCTTCTGCACAGCCATGTAAGAATTAAATAAGGTATGAAATCTATCACTTATCTTCTGACAATGTCATAAATTACTCACAGGAACCCTCTCCCGAATTTTGCTAATCCTGTGGTTTTCTGATATTTAACGTAATATTCCTCCTACCTATGGTGCTCATTAGTGAAAGTATAGAAATGCTTCTCTTGGTTATTAGTCACATCTCGGATGCGTTTATATACGGGGGCACTGCGATTTCTCACTTCTTGAAGAACTGTTTGTAGCACAATTACATTCCTGATGGCAGGGTCCTCAAGAACATCAATCTTAAAGAAAGATAAAGTTAATTTTTCCTATATTCATTTGTAAATAGCTCTGTCAAACATAAAATCCTGTTTTATGTTGGGCATAAATACTTTATGTTTTAAAAACACTGAATAAGTTAAGCCAAGAAGCTATTTGGCTATAGAAAACGAGACAATAGTCACTAAACCCTTCAGATCTATTAAAAAAAGCACACTTAAACAGACCAATCACAAGACTTCGTAGAATTAAGGGTATTAATAAAGGAATACGTTGGCCCACATAGTTTTTTGTTCCTAGGCACTTACAAGCTGCCTGGGAGTCGCAGGCTGGAGGCCACAGAAGCCCAGGTCCCCGGCCTCCAGGCACTTACAATCTAAGGCAGAAGAGACACCAGGAGTTAGAAAAATAACGTGTCTGAACTACGACTCCAAGAACTAAATTTTTTAAAGCACAAGGAAAAGAACCTCGGCCTGGGGAACAGGAAGCTTCGGTCCCGAGGGGGTTTCCCTTTCGCTAGGTATGTGACACTGCCAAAGACCCGCCTCCCTGGGCCTCAGTTTCCCTGTCATACCCCCTTGTCCCCGTGGGGCCGCGCTGTCCGCGGTTCGCCCGCCCACGCACCTGGTGCAGTAACACATTAGTGTCGGGCAGCAAGTAGTGCGGTTGCGGGCAGACGCTGCTCGCCGGGTCCTGGGGCTGCGGCTCCAGGGCCGGCCCCTCGTGCGCCCCTCCACACGCTGCGCACCCGGGCGCACCGCAGCCGATGTCGTCTCGCAGGTAGTGCTCGCGCACGATCTTCATCACGCCGCCCGCCCGGGTCTTTTTTAAGAACGTCTTGGACTTGAGCATCTTGCCTCGCCGCGCAGAATCCTAACCCCAGCAGCGCTCTTCCAGCAAAAGGCGTCAATCTAGAATACGCCTAACCCCGGAGGTTCTTCCCTTTCCATTCCCGGATATTAGTAACACTTCTCGCGGGAAAATGCCGAGATAAACATTGGTTGGCTCTCTGACGGCCGCGGGGATTGGGCGAGAGTGGGGAGGGGCGGCAAAGCAAGGCGAGGAGCCATTTCCGCCCGTGGCCTAGGCGGGGCTTCCTTCTGGACGCCACCTCACAACGTGTGTTGCTTTCCGCTCCTCGGAACATCCGGGAGAGTTGACTTCCGGCGGCTTGTGGGAGTGCTGGTTCTGTCCTCCTTGCGGGTGCGGAGATGGTTGTCTTGGTTACGGGTCCTAACGGTCCCCTGCCTTGAAATCCCTTGTTGAGGGCCTGCAACCTTGTGCTTCCGACCGGAGACGCCTTTGGTCCCTCGGTGTCTGCACTGGCTGCTGGTCAAGGCTTCAGTGTGGAGTAATTGACACTTTCGAGGTAACTTGCGACTATCATCGCTTTCTTTCCCGCGTGGGGCAAGGAATCCCCCGAGCTGCCAAGTTTGGGGCTTAATTTTCACGCCGAGTGTATAGGCAGTCCCCGTCTCGGGCCCTTTGTAATCGAGGAGAGAATTTGTCTTTGAATTCACTTTTTCTTACCTATTTCCCTTCAAAAAGAAGGAGGGAGGCCGATCTTAGTATAGTTCTCGCTGTTTCCCCTCCACACACCTTTCCTTATCATTCAGTTTAGAAAAACTGAAATATTTAATAGCATAATTTGTTATATCATGAGGTATTAAAACAAGGTAGTTGCTAACATTCTTATGAGAGAGTTAGAAGTAAGTTCTATTTAGAATTTCTTGAATTTTTCTTATATCCTGTTGTTTTCATTCTGCTATCTATAAAAAATGTTTTTGTCCCCGTTTTCCCTATTTAAAACATCTTCAATGATGCCTCATTGCCTGTAGAATAAAATCCAACCCTATTTTGACATTTAAGGCCTTCCAGTCTTGATCGTTAAGGGCGTGTGTGTGTGTGTGTGTGTGTGTGTGTGTGTTTGTGTTTGTGTTGGGGGGGCGGTGAAAGGAGTAACTATTCCAAGACTTGGCTTTGTTTTTTTACTTCCACTTACGTATCATTAATAACTGCATGATTTCTCCTTTTTACCATGCCTGTCCAAATCTTTAAAGATTCTAAGTGCTACCTCTGTGTAACGTTTCCCTGACCAACTCAGACGTGATTTCTGTTATCTTTGAGCATGTGTTGGTTTTAGTGGTGCCATTCTTGATTATAATGGGCTTTTTTCTTCATCTTGTACATTTCTTTGTTTCCTCCAAGTAAGATTCCTCCCCGCAGGAACTGTTTTTTTAAGTTTCTCGAAGGCTGACTTCATATTAGGAATTAATGTGTTTGATTTGAGCATTAACTTAACTGCAATAATCTGTTCTAGATTTGGGATGCACTAAATTGCCTAATATTTATTTAAGGAATCCTTAGTCTCTCTTTAATACAGTCCATGATTTCTGTAGTTAATTTTATAGTACATTTGAATTAATGTTTTTTAACCTACAGAATATTAAAATCAAATTAGAGAAGAAAACTGATCCATAATAATAAAAATGTCTCGAAAAATTTCAAAGGAGTCAAAAAAAGTGAACATCTCTAGTTCTCTGGAATCTGAAGATATTAGTTTAGAAACAACAGTTCCTACGGATGATATTTCCTCATCAGAAGAGCGAGAGGGCAAAGTCAGAATCACCAGGCAGCTAATTGAACGAAAAGAACTACTTCATAATATTCAGTTACTAAAAATTGAGCTATCCCAGAAAACTATGATGATCGACAATTTGAAAGTGGATTATCTTACAAAGGTAAGATCAGGTTTAAATTTTGTGTTCTATATGCTTTATTGTCTTCAAACGGCAGGTAAATAAGAATTAAATACACACATTATCTGAACTTGAAATGATACATTTATATTTCTTGACAAGTACAGCCTTTAAATAATTTTGGTGTTCATAGAAGTAGAGAATAGAATGGTGGTTACCAAGGGCTGGCATGGTTAGGGGTGAAGGAGGGTTGGGGAGATGTTGGTCAAAGGATACATAATTACAGTTGAATAGGAGGAATACATTCAAGAGATCTATTGGACAGCATGGTGGCTATAGTTAATGACATTGTAATCTTGGAAAACATTGTGTTTTTGAAAAACACAGCAGATGTTAAGTGTTCTCATTACTAAAATAACTATGTGAGGTAAAACATTTTTTAATTAGCTAGAGTTAACCATTTCACAATGTACGTATACTTCAAAACATTATGTTGTACATGACATATACACACAGTTTTATCTGTCAGTTGGGATCACCTGAGGTCAGGAGTTTGAGACCAACCTGGCCAACATTGTGAAACCCCAGCTCTACTTAAAAAAAAAAAAAAAAAAAAATTAGCCAGCCATGATGGTGGGTGCCTGTAATCCCAGCTGCTCGGGAGGCTGAGGCAGGAGAATTGCTTGAACCCAGGAGGCAGAGTTTGCAGTGAGCCACAATCGTGCCACTGCACTCCAGCCTGGGCAACACAGCAAGACTCTCAAAAACTAGTAATAATAATAATAATAATAATTGGAGGCCAAGTGCGGTGGCTCACACCTGTAATTCCAGCACTTTGGATGCTGAGGCCAGTGGATTGCTCCAAGCTCAGGAGTTCGAGACTACCCTGAGCAACATGGTGAGACCACCCTTGCTACTAAAAAAATAAAATAGCCCCGCGTAGTGGTGCTGCGCCTGCAGGCCCAGCTACTTCCGAGGCTGAGGCGGGAGAATCACTTGAATCCGGGGGCAGACATTGCAGTGAGCTGAGATCGTACCACTGCACTCCAGCCTGGGTAACAGAGTGAGACCCTATCTCAAAAAAATAATAATAATAATTTAAGTATTGAAATATGGAGTGATTTAAACGTAGATATGGATAAATTACTTTTGTAGGCTCAATTTAAAAAATCTAACATATGAGGTATTTTGTTGTTTTTTGTTGTTGTTGTTGGAGACAGTCTTGCTCTGTCACCCAGGCTGGAGTTCAGTGGCACAATCTTGGCTCACTGCAACCTCCACCTCTTGGGTTCAAGCAATTCTCCTGCCTCAGTCTCCCACGTAGCTGGGATTACAAGTGCTCCCCACCATGCCCAGCTAGCTCTCTGGGATCACTTTTATAAGGGCACCAATCCCAACAGTGAGGGTTCTACCCTTATAACCTAATCACCCCAAAGGCCCCAACTTCCTGCTACTCACATTGGTGATTAGGTTTCAATATACAAATTTTGAGGGGAGAAAAAAAAATAAGCACACAAGACGTATTAGCCGTTGTTGTTTTCAACTAACATAGCATCCTTATCTGTTTCATCCCTTTCATTTTCTGTGCCTTTTATGGCCATCGGACTGAATTTGTTTGTTATTTGTCTGTGAATAGACTATGAGGTCCATGAGGACGGGGATGTTTTTGTATTCATGGTTGTATTTCCAGCACTTAGAACGGTGCCTGACACAAATTAAGTGCCCAGCTATTTCTTAAATGAATGACTGAACCCCATTTTGCTCTGATTAAACAAAGCCACTAGGTGGTTAATAGCATACCCAAGGCCATTCAGATGAAAGTGATAGAGCCAGATAGGATTCAAACCTAGGAAGTCTAAAGCCTATACTCTACACAAGTGAAGCTCCAAACACTTTCTTTTAGGTACCCTATACAGTCACCTACCTAGTCTAGGTCACTTGGTAGTTTATCCATGCATCCAGTGGTTTCCCATCCCTATTCCCTTACTCTTTTTGCATTTCACATGAACTCCATCTACCTTCACCTCTCCAGACCTTAGTGCAACTCATTGAAGAAACCTGAGGTTATCTCCCATTCATTAATTCACCCACTCAGTCAACAAGTATTTTTTTAAGTGCCACCTGTATACCATATCCAGACTTACATTTTGTTCAGCCACCTCTTGTATTATTTGTTTTCAACTTGCATTGTCCTTGGTTGTCAATGGCTTTGCTTCTTTTTAGGTGTAAGCTTTATATTATAGAAATGTTGGTTGATTCATGACAGGCTCTCTAGTGTAACAAATCCAAATTACAGTTCTAGATGCACACAGTTTGGGTTTTGAATTCCAGCCTTACTAAATTCCTTAATGTTTTTATTCCGTGATTTCCTATAAAATGATAATAGTATTTATTCCGTGGAATTATCGGGAGGATTAATCAATGTATGTAAGCTCATAGATGCTTGGTGTATACTAATAATAAACTTATTATTTACATATTATTTTATTTGTAGCTATACTTACTCAGCACAATATTATTATTTTTCTACTTCCATGGTGCTTAGTGTAGTTTTTGTTGTGGTTTTCTAGTTTGACTGAAAATGTAGAAGATTGCAATAGTCGTGTTCCTGAGTTTGACACATAATCATCATTGATCCCTGAAAGGCTGCTGTTTTTCTAATGTATTTATTCTTTTCATTCCTATAGCTCATTCCATTTCTTAATGCAAACATTTTAATGTTTTGTTTACATGTATTCTTGAGAATGTGTATCTTTTAACTTTACAGAAATGTAAATTATATGCTTTGTTTTAGTTCTCATCTCTTTTTTCCTACTCAGCACTGTTTTTGAAGTTATCTATTACTTTGTATACATCTAGTCCTTTGCTTCCAACTCTTATGTAATTCTTTGTGTGCGTCTACCAGTCTTTCTACTCCTACATTGCTAGGCATCCAGATTGCCTCCAGCTCCTTGCAACACATGCAGCATTAGACATTTCTCTTCTGGACCTCTGTGAGCATGTCTTTGACATATATAAATGTCTCCTTCATTTAACTAAGTGTACTGCCAGGTTATCTCCAAAATAGCTGCCCTGCTGTATATTAGTAGAGTTTTTTTCTCTATCATACGAGCACTCAGGATTCTCTGCTTGAAGACTCTTTAGGAATAAGATGTTTGCTCTCAAATATATGAAGAAATACCTATTGTAGAGTTAGCCTTCCATAATTTATTGAACCTAAAGCACCTCTGTTGTAAGATGCATCATTACATACATTGCTAAGGTTAAACACTTCCAGTTGAATTGTTAAGTGCCTTAGATTGTAAAATGCATTCCAATTTTAGAGATGTTAAAATGTGAGAAAGTGTGAGTCTGGAGTTGATGAAAGAATATTTAAAAAATATTTTTATTAAAGAATATGTATATGTATGTTAATGTGTGTATGTGTGTATATATATGTTTACTTCTTACATGCCCTGGGAATAACACCTTAGACAGGCAAACAGCACTACACACATGATATATATTTTTTCACTTATTTGTTTATGTATAAATTGGTATGTGACATATTTCTTTATATGTTTTAAAATAACACCTTTATTTGTATGTGTTATTATATGTTTAGTTATGTCTTTATTTTTGTCTTTATGTGTGAAGCACTCCAGATGAACAAAGTGCTACACTGTTTCTTGTGAGCAGTGATTCTAAAGCTAGTACACCCCACTGAATTTTGTCCCTCTGGTCGATTGTGAGGACTCAGAAGTATATTGGACTCCTGGTGTTAGAGCTGTTTGTTTTCTTGGTGTTTCAATGAGGTCCAGCTCTAGAAGAAAGCAAAGAAGGTTCATGGGGTATTTTGAAATGAACAGGGTCCCCAAAAGCCTGATGGATCTGGTAACACCACGCGGTATTTGATTCAAATCTATCTGGTAGCATCCTCTCTGAATTTTTAAGTGAAGAAGAAAGGGGCTCAATTTGGTAGTGCTGCCATATACTTTTTTTTTCTTTTAATTTTTTTGAGACAGAGTCTCACTCTGTTGCCCAGGCTGGAGTGCAGTGGCATGATCTCAGCTCACTACAACCTTCACTTCCTGTGTTCAAGCGATTCTTGTGCCTCAGCCTCCCGAGTAGCTGGGACTGTAGGCCCGTGCCACAACGCCCAGCTAAGTTTTGTATTTTTGGTAGAGATGGGGGTTTCACTATGTTGGCCAGGCTGGTCTCGAACTCCTGGCCTCAAGCAATCCACCCATTTCAGCCTCCCAAAGTGCAGGTGTGAAGCCACTGCACCCAGCCATGCCATACACTTTTTAGCCTGGGCAGGAAACTTAAAGCCTAGGTCTTGAAAGAAAGGTATTTTTAATTGGTCATTCATTCTCCAAAGCTTATTGAGCATCGTATGCTAACGTTATGAAAAATAAATTTTCCTCACTAGACTATAGCTCCATGATAATGGTTGGAAGTCACAGGAAAGGTAGATTTCTGCTCAGTGTAAGCCTGTTATTGCTATTAACATTGAAATGGCCTGATCTTAAGTTTCTGAGCTTCCTGTCATTGGAAGCATTTAAGTAGTCCTGAATAGTCAACTGTTAATAAATATTATAGGTATTTCTATTTTGGAAAGAGATTGAACCAACTGCCCAGGGTTTCAAGGATTAAGTTCAGCAGTTAATACCAGAGACTTGAAAAATGGTGGTTTCTGGTAACAGAGACCTGGAAACCATGGCTTAAGCAAGAGAAGGATTTTGTTTCTTTGGTATAACAAAAATCCAAAAATAGGTATTTTAGTAGACCTCAAGTGATTACTCCTTGATCGCATTAGGAACCCAGGCTCCTTTTAACCTTAGCTATTTTCAACATATGCTTTTCACCTGAAATCATAAGATAGCTTATCTGCCTCCAGTATTGTGTACATGTAAAAGGTGGTAATAAGGAGAAGGATAGTGGAAAAGGGGGCATGTGCCAAATGAGTCAGTCCTCTTTAAAGAGTTCTTCCAGAAGTTCAAGCCAGTGGCCTCAATTGACTAACATTGTATAGCATGACCACCCCTACCTACAAGGGATGGGAAGCTAACTGGACATGTTGTTACTAATAAAAACCAGAGTATGTCAGAAAGAAGGGAAGGTTTGATGTTGGGAGGCAAGTAAGTTTTTTCTTCTACCCATCAAAATCTTTTTTTAGTTAGAAAATATTTGAATCTAACATGTCCCACTCCATTGTGGCACCAATACAAATGGTTATGGATACATGGCTTTATTATAGTTTGTTACTAGGAATAGTCTTGGCCGTATTGATTTGAATTCTCCATGTCTAAAAACAGGAACAAGCAGGTCCAAGAACACTTTAAAAGCACTTCCCACTCAGCTGCTTGTTAACTGAAAGAATGTAGAAAAGCTACTCAGAAGAGTAGCTATTCAGGCCAAACTTCCTGATAGTAGAGCATTGTTAGCTTTACACTTTTATTTCCATCTATTGCTGCCTAGATTCCCTTCCTTACTGTACTTCTTTATTCCTTTCCTCTTCTCTGTTCTTGCCTTTCAAATTTTTAGACAGGGTCTCACTCTCTTGCCCAGGCTGGAGTGCAGTGGCTTGATCACAGCTCTCTGCAGCCTCAAATTACTGGGCTCAAGCAATCCTCTCATCTCAGCCTCTTGAGCAGCTGAGACTACAGGCGTGTACCACCACACCCAGCTAATTTTTTTAATTTTTTTGTAGAAACAGGGTCTCACTATGTTGTCCAGGCTAGTCTCAAACTCCTGGCTTCAAGCAATCCTCCCACCTTGGCCCCCCAAAGTGCTGGGTTTACAGCCTGAGCCACAGAATTGAGCTCTTTAAAATTTTTAAATGCCCCAAACTCTTTTTATTTATCTCTCATTAGAGATCTGTGGGTTCCTTATTACCTGGGAAATGAATACATTTCCCAGCTTGTCCTTGAGTTAAGAGACTCAATTTAGAAGTTAATTGAAATTATAAACATTGAAACCCTGAAAAAAATGTTTTTTTTTTCCTCGTGATACAGGTTGTTTCTTATCTAAAATGCTTGGGACCAGAAATATTTCAGATTTTTGATTTTTTTTTTAATTTGGGAATATTTGTGTTAGACCAGTTGAGCATCCCAGATCTGAAAGTCTGAAATCCAAAAGGGTCAACTGAGCATTTCCTTTGAGTGTCATAGTGACTCTCAAAAAGTTTCAGACTTCAGAGCATTTTGAATTTCAGATTTTAGGGTTTGGGATGCTCAACATGTAACAGTATTCTTGATTTGGGAAACAGTAATTATAAGGAATGTGTTTATTTTACATTTTATATTGATTTATTTATTGAGATGTTGCTGGATATATGCCAATGGATATGACAGAGGTCCCCCTTCTTATGGCCAAGACAGAAAATATTTTATGCTTTGTAGGCCACCTATGCTCTATCAGATTTTTCTTATGGGCTGGATTTAGCCCATCACCATTTTTTAATTCTTGCTTTAGACTATGTAGTCAGAAAAGCTATTGGCAAAGTTTAGCAGTTAAGAGTTACATGTCCTGATTTCTGTATTCAAAATGGCACTAAAATAATAGACTAAGGGCAGACAAGACAGAAACAGAAGAGTTACATTCCTAAGTTTTTGGCTTATTTAACTGGGGCCATTTATAAGAATGGAAGGCTGGGAGAAAACTGATCTGGGAGGTAAAATATATTAATAAGTTCAGTTTTGAAGGTGTAACTTATAGATTCCTAAATGTAATTGTCAGTTAGAGTTTAGGAGGAGTCCATCACACACACACACACACACACACACACACACACACACACACACTTATAGATAGATCACACACACCCTTATAGATAGATCACACACACACATAGATAGATAGATAGATAGATAGATAGATAGATAGATAGATAGATAGATAGATAAATCAGCATATAGGTGGCACCTAAAGCCATGGGATTGTATGGTATTTCCTAGGGAGAACAGAGGGCTATAAAGTAAGTCAAAGGGGTAGTCCAGCTGAGGAGCCTAGAAAGCTTAAGAGTATTTAGTGAGTTAAGAAAACTAGAGAAGAGTATCATGGAAGCTAAAAGAGAATGAAGTGGTTAGCTGTATCAAGTCATGCTGTCAAATAAGATAAATAGGCAGAAAAAAACAATGCACAGGACATTATGGACTTTAACAAGAATAGTTTCACTGGAATAGTATGGGGCAAAAACTATATTGAAGTTTTGCTCTGAAGACCAACAGAGAAATGGTGCTATAGCAAAGAGAATGATGTGATCAAGGGACCATTTGCTTGATGATAGAATGATTCAGTAGAGAAGAGGGACTTGACGATGCAAGAGGAGGGATTTACTTGCATATGTTATGGATTGGCTGTGAAATTCATGTATTTTTGTTTGTTTGTTTGTTTGTTTGTTTGTTTGTTTTAGATGGAGTCTCACTCTGTCGCCCAGGCTGGAGTGCAGTGGCATGATCTCAGCTCACTGCAACCTCCGCCTCCCGGGTTCACGCGATTCTCCTGCCTCAGCCTCCCGAGTAGCTGGGACTACAGGCACATGCCACCACACCCGGCTAATTTTTTGTATTTTTAGTAGAGACAGAGTTTTACTATGTTAGCCAGTATGGTCTCCATCTCCTGACCTTGTGATACACCCGCCTCATCCTCCCAAAGTGCTGGGATTACAGGTGTGAATCACCACGCCCTGCCTGAAATTCATGTATTTTAAGGGGCAAACAGGAATCGTCTTGGTTAAAGCAAAGGGAATAAAGAATTTTCTAAATAGACTAAGAGCAAAATCCAAGTGCTTGAGAAAGCACAGCATACTTGGGGGATGGCAAGCACTTAATATTGGCTGAAATGGAGTTTCCTTTTAAGCTAATGACAAAAGTAGTTGGCTAGATCAAGAAATACCACTGTATTATGCCACAGTGTTTAGAATTTATTCTGAGGACAGTGAGGATCCTCTGAAGAATGTAAAACTAGGAAAATAATTTTTTTTTTTTTGAGACGGAGTCTCGCTCTGTCTCCCAGGCTGGAGTACAGTGGTGCAATCTTGGCTTACTGCAGCCTCCGCCTTCCAGGTTCAAGTGATTCTCCTGCCTCAGCCTCCTGAGTAGCTGTGACTACAGGCGCCCGCCACCATGCCTGGCTAATTTTTGTATTTTTTAGTAAAGATGGAGTTTCACCATGCTGGCCAGGCTTATCTTGAACTCCCGACCTCAAGTTGTCTGCCCGCCTCGGCCTCCCAAAGTGCTGGGATTACAGGCGTGAGCCACCGCACCCAGCTGAAAATAAATTTTTGATAGCATTTTTTAAAGGTAAGATAGAGGAATATAAATTTGGAGGTTGGCAAAACTGGAGGCAGGAGGCCAGGCGCGGTGGCTCATGCCTGTAATCCCAGCATTTTGGGAGGGCAAGGTGGACTGATCACTTGAGGTCAGGAGTTCAAGAACACCCTGACCAACATGGTGAAACCCTGTCTCTACTAAAAATACAAAAATTAACCGGGTGTGGTGGCACTTGGCTGTAATCCCAGCTACTCAGGAGGCTGGGGCAGTAGAATCACTTGAACCTGGCAGGAGGAGGTGGCAGTGAGCCAAGGTTGCGCCACTGCACTCTAGCCTGGGCAACAGCACTTGGCCTTCCAAAGTGCTGGAATTATAGGCGTGAGCCCCTGTGCCTGGTCCCTCTATCCATTTTTAGCCTGTTTCTTTCAAGTGTTTTTAAAATATGTTTATTATGAAACTGAAAGTTTTTCTTTATGACAAATCATATAATTTATCTTTTTCTCTTTACGAAGATTGAAGAATTGGAGGAGAAACTTAATGATGCACTTCACCAGAAGCAGCTACTAACATTGAGATTAGACAACCAATTGGCTTTTCAACAGAAAGATGCCAGGTAAGAAAAGTTTTTTTTAAAAAAAAAACAACATCTATTTAGCAATTAAAAGTAATTTTATTGCCTGTTCATGTTTGTGACTGTAAGCTAAAATAGAGAAATTTTAAGTCAGAGATAGCAATAATTTTTACACCTAGACCACAAAAAAAGTAGGATACTTGATATGGTACATAAAATACAGAAAGTCAAAATTCAACATTCATTCAACAAACATTGGTCAGTGTAAACCATATATGATAAAGGAAGCTCTCTAAACTGACCACCATTAACCTTTCTTCTTTTACGCAACATATTGATTGATTCTCATGACCCATTGGACTTTCCTGGCCTGAAGTACTTTCTATTATTCCTGTGTACTTTCTCTAGCTCAGTTGTGGGCTTATCATGCTTAAATATGCCTATGGCAATTATACTTATGTAACTTAATTAAAAATAATACAAACAATGAAATAAATTCTTTGGAACGATTCAATAAAAGGAACTAAAAAAATTATGAAATTAAATATAAGCAACACAAGTTTAAAGATTGAGGGCAAACATGAAATCCATATAAGATACCTTCATTGGTTTCTTCCTAAATGTCTTTTAGGATCTCATGCCATTGTAAAGAAATTGAACTTGGAAATCATACATGATGATTTACACAAAATCAAATCATACCTCTGTATTCAAAATATCTGGATCCTATATAAAAATGTGAATGTTTAGTTCTATGTTTTAATTACAGGTAAAAGTGTAAAACAGGTAAATTTTCCCTTTTTAAGATTTTACTACTTAACTGATATTGTAAAAAATTATCGGACCTTTTTATCAGCCACTATCACACTAGATTAGTGGACCTCAAACTTTAGCATGTATCAGGAACAGTTGAAGGGCTTGTTAAAGAAGCCTACTGGATCCCACCCTCAGAGTTTCTGACTTGTGGGGGTGGGGTCCTGAGAATGTGCATTTTTACTGGGTTCGCAGGTGATGCAGATGCTGCTGGTCCAGAAACAATACTTTGAGAACCACTGCATTTGATAATAGGTCTTCTATGCTAATTCTGTAAGACATATATCAGATTGAATGATGCTGCTGAGAGGGCAGTCACGAGTCTATTGTAATAAAACTCTTGATAGCTGATGGTCATAAAAAATGGTTGGATTCTGAATATTTTTTGGAGGGCTGATGGATTCAATGTGGGGCTTAAGAGAAAAAGGGGAGTCAAGGATTACATCAAAAGTTTTGGCCTGAACAAATGAAAAAATGGAATTTCTGTCAGCTAAGAAGAAAGAAATCATGGTAGCAAAGGTTTTGTGAGTAAAAAGCCTGAGTTCAATTTGGGACATGTTAAGTTGGAGTTTTCTAGTTAGAAATCCATGTGGAGGTATACGAAAAGTCTCGTGTAGAGGTACAAATCTGGGGATCATTAGGCTATAGACAGTATTCAAGTCATGAGACTAGATGAATTCCCCAAGGAGTGCGTACAGACAGAAGAGGACCAAGTACTCCAACATTAAGACAAAGCAGAAAAGGAGACTGAGAAGGAACCACAGTAAAATAGAAGAAAAATGAACAGTATGATGTCTTGGAAGCCAGGTGATGAAAATGTATCAAGGAAAGAAAGTGACTTGTGTCAAGCTCTATCATTAGATCATGGAGGAAAAGAACTAAGAATTGATCATTTGCAATTTAGATGTCATTGAGATTTCATTGGAGACAGTAAAAATATGATCGCCATGGGTTTAAGAGGAAAGGATTTGGAGACAATAATTATAGACAACTTTTGAGCAAGCTTGCTCCAAAGGGGTGGCTAACAAAGGGGGAAGTGCAGTGAAGTCCAGAGTTGTGGTTTTGTTTGTTCATTTGTTGTAAGATTGAAATAACAGCATGTGTGTCTGTTAATGGGATTGATATAGTAGGGAAGGGGAAAATCAGTAATATGATTTGGCTGTGTCCCCACCCAAATCTCATCTTGAATTATAGCTCCCATAATTCCTACATGTCATGGGAGGGACCTGATGGGAGGTAACTGAATCATGGAGGTGGTCTTTCCCATGCTGTTCTCATGATAGTGAATAAGTCTCACAAGATCTGATGGTTTTATAAATGGGAGTTCCCCTGCACAAGCACTCTTGTCTGCCACCATGTAAGACATGCCTTTGCTTCTCTTTTGCCTTCCGCCATGATTGTGAGGCCTCCCCTGCCATGTGGAAGTCTGAGTCCAGTAAACCTCTTTCCTTTATAAATTACCCAGTCTTGGGTATGTCTTTATTAGTAGCATGAGAGCAGACTAATAACATCAGATTGTCCCTTCCTGATCAGAATCTTTCAGTAGGCAACTAACAATAATGTCTGCTACATGTATTCTTTGAGAATGATGAGTATGTGCAGATTACTGTTTTCATTACCTCATTGGTTGAGTGAATACCTTATGGTGGTTCAGTGTTACCATCTTAAAGAGATATCCTTGAAGTATCAGGATAAAAGGGAAATGAAAATTACTTTAATAAGTAGAGTCCTTGATGTTTAACATTAAACCTTAAGCAGAAGAAATATATAATTTTATAATTTGAATTTCTAAAATTATTCTTTAAGAATATCAATTCTCTGTTTAATAATTTATATGGTTACACATTTAATAATTAGTATGGAATTGTCATTTCATATTTAACTGATTAATATGAGTAAATAAGTATTTAGCTGGAGTAAGTAAATAATACTGTCAGGTTTCTGATTTCCTAACTTTATGTTGATATAAATAGGAAACTGTGAGAAAATTAGATCTCAAATACTTTTTTAAAGCCTGCCATAAATTCTCTTCTAATGTAGCAAATATCAAGAATTAATGAAACAAGAAATGGAAACCATTTTGTTGAGACAGAAACAACTAGAAGAGACAAATCTTCAGCTAAGAGAAAAAGCTGGAGATGTTCGTCGAAACCTGCGTGACTTTGAGTTGACAGAAGAGCAATATATTAAATTAAAAGCTTTTCCTGAAGATCAGCTTTCTATTCCTGAATATGTATCTGTAAGTATCTTATATCTATTTTTAACTATGACATATATTTTCAGACTAAAATTTACCATTTATATAGTAGCAATTACTTTTGAAGTACCCAATTGATACATTATTTTATGGCTATGGATGGTGAATGGTGTTGAGATCCAAATTTTAAAGGATCATGACCATTGATCTCCAAAGTCAAGCAATAAATAGGTTTCTGAAGTTAATGACTGCATAGTCCATAGAAATGAATTATCGTAAACTGGTGGTTTCTTACATTCTCAAAATGAAAAATTATAAACAACAGAGTAGTTGTTGCCAGGGGTTGGTTGGGGATAGTGGGAGAGAGGAGTCAGCGTGGTTATAAAGGGATAGGATGAGAAAGAACTTTGTGGTGAGAGATTGGCGCAAGATCTTGATTGCAGTGCTGGTTACACAAATCTAGAACACCTAGGATTAATCTATGGCAGTGGTCTCAAATATTTTGGTGTCAGCATTCATTTACATTCTAAAAGTTATTGAGGACCCCAATGAGTGTTTGTTTATATGGGCTGTATCTATTAATATTTACCATACTAGAATTTTAAACTAACAACTTTTTTAAACACAAGAATAAGCACACAATTCCATTGGCCTTAAGAGTGATAATGTCATATGTCATGTAGCCACTGGCAAACTCCACTGAACAGTCATGAGAGAATGAGAATGAAACGGGGAAAAAAAATCTTAATAATTACTAGGAAAGTCGTTTTGATCTTGTGAATTCCCTGAAAGGATCTCAGAGTGGCGAGTGGGGCAGAGTCCAGGAGTCCCAAAACCATATGTTGAGAACTGCTGCTTTTTAATATGTAGATGTCATTTTACCCTGAGAGGCTTGAATTTTTTAATCCCTAAAAAGGGTTAATAGTAACGGTGCGTTTCTATTGGGGATAATTGTAAAGACTATAACTATGTATGTAAAATGCTTGTGAGCATAGTGCTTAGAAGATAGTAAACACATAAAAATGTTGTCTATTGTTTTTGCTGGAGTGGTGGTTGCTATTCTTGGTTCTCATTGGGAAAAGATTTGCAGATTAGTGATGTCTGATAAAATGAAGTTACTTTTTTGTTCAGCTGTTTTTTTTTTTTTTTTAAAAGGCTCAAATACAGCTTTTCTGTCCAAAGTATACTGTCCAAAACAAATTAAATATCTCAAATTCTGTTTTTGAGGCTTCATTTACAGTAGATATAAAGTATCACACTGGTGGCAGTTACACATATTTTTGCTGTTTGTTTTCTTAATATTCCTTCTTACATCTTTTGTTTTCACAGACAATATTATCCTTAACTAATTAATTATATGCAGATTCTTTTTGTTGAGGGCTAGTATTAAGATTTGCCTCTTACCAAATAATGGTATTCTTGTAATACCGTCATATGTTAAGGAGTTTCAGATTGCATGCCTATATGATAGCCCCTAATTACTCTCTCCTAATTTGCTGTGATGATTTCTTAGTTTTATGGGACCTTGTCAGATGGAACACTTTACTGAGCTAGGGTAGGAAAATTTCTCTGAGACAAGTATGAGTGGAAAGAGAGACCTGAACTAAATGGAAGTAATGATGTGAAAGATACCTCTTGATTCATTCTGATTAGACTTCCACTGTAGGGACAGCAGTAAATAAAGCTTTGCCAAGAGCCTGGGATGAAAATAAAGAATACACTTTACCTCTTCATCAAGTATTTATTGAGTGCTTATCATATATTTAGGCATTGGAAATACAGCGGTGTATAAACCAGACAAAAATCCCTGCCCTCAGGTTGTGAAAGTGGAGCAACACAGGCAATAACTTAAAAATTAAATATGTAGAATATCTGTTTGTCAAAGGTGCTACAGAGAAAAGAGCAGGGGTGAAAAATAGGGAGTGCTACTTAAAATTAGGTAAAGAAATCAGGGAGGGCTTTACTAACAAGGTAATATTTGGTCAGAGACCTATAGGGAGACAAGGCATGAGCCATGCATTTATATGGGGGAAGAACTTCTCTAGCAGAAGAAACAGCAAGAGCAAGACTCCTGAACATTTGTGATATGTTCCAGAAGTTTACAAGCACCTAGTGTGGAGTGAGCAGTAGTAGATGAGTAGTAATGGAGTGTCAGTAGAAGGGAGGAAATACTGTCAAAGGTAAGAGGTTATAAATCATCTGGCCCTTGAGGGAAGTTAATTGAACATTAAGGCTTGATAGAAAGTATTAGTGGCTAGGGTCCATTAATGACTGTCTTGTTGTAGTTTTGTAAATATTTATCTTTATTACTGATAAGTGAGAGCACTACAAATTACAAATTTTAATTGTAATTTGGATTTAAGACTGCTTATTAATTTAATTTTTTTCAAGGTTCGCTTCTATGAGCTAGTGAATCCATTAAGAAAGGAAATCTGTGAACTACAAGTGAAAAAGAATATCCTAGCAGAAGAATTAAGTACAAACAAAAACCAACTGAAGCAGCTGACAGAGGTTTGTATGGTTTTGATTGCTGGTGGGAAGAAGCTTCGGCTTTTTCTGTAGAGTCCCTCAGGATTTGTGATAAGGCATATAAAAGTCAGTGATTGAAAAATGGGACTATGGGATGGTGACTGCTACAGTTCAATAATGGGAAGGAGGTTAAATTGGAAGTAGTCATCTTAAACATTGACAAGACAAGTCTGTGTTATTGACGTATCCTATAGTTGAGCTTTTATTGTTGCAAGTCAATTTTATAATCAACTGCTTTTGAAATCCTAATATGGGCTATATCTGAAAATTGCTGTGTATCCTTAGATGACGCATATGCATGTATTTATTTAGTAATTTGTCTCTATTTTTAACATCACTTTGTCAGGAAATTTAAGCAAGAAACAAGAAATGTAGGCCAAGCTATGCAGGGGATCTCTTGCAGGTGCCATAAGAAAGAAGAAAAGGAGAATATTTTTACTTTGAACTAAGTTGACTCGTAGGTTCTGGTTTGCCTAAGACTGTTGCCATTATTCCTGTGAATAAATATTAATAGCACCCCTTTATTTTCAAAATTATCTCAGCCTAGACGATGAATATAGTAATCATAAATCAACATTTATATAGAAGGGTGGACTAATCATTAACTTGGTTGTATTATTGACCAGATATCCTAGAATACTATCTTGTAGTTATAGTCTACTAACAAAAAAATAATGGTAGATTGATTCATTCTACCATGTAACAGTTGGAAATGGGTGGCTGTTTTTCTTCAAATATTTCGTTATTCTAAAAGGAAAACACTTCTAGTTTACAAATGGGGGCTGCTGCAGTTCTTCATTACAAGTTAGCCTTGTTCGTGATATGAGATGGAGCTACTGTCCATTTATTACTTACGTGGCTTCTTTGTGAAGTGCAGTTAACTCTCATAATATTTATTCTGAGCATGTGTACTGATACTAGCATTAACCCCAGTGGTGTGCATGGTGCTGTGCTAGGTGCTGGCAGTGAACCCAAGAGAGGCAATGCCTGCCCTTCTAGAGTTTACTTTCTAGCAGGTTAGGATTAGAACGTTAGGTGATATTTTGACACTCTCATTTACTGTGTGACCATGACCAGGTCATTTAATGTTTCCTGTTCTGTCAAATGGAGAAAATAATACTGTTTGTTCATTTATTTAATTGCATTGCCTATATTTCTGTTTCAGAGTAAAAACATGATTTTAGCAAAGTTGCATACAAACATTTATGTCCTATTTTAAGGGCAGTTTTTGTCAATGATATTATCCAGAAATAAATAATTATAATTTAATTTGTATTTTTAATGCTCTACTTTGCTGTACTATTAGTCTTAGAGATAATTTACTTAAGTCTTGCCATAGAACCAATATTTCAGACAAAATAAGAAGGCTTAGCTTCCTCTCCTCTGAGGAGCAGTGACATCAGCAGGAGCAATTAGAGGGGCAGATGTGCCCCCACTCCAAACTTCAGTTGTTTTCTTTTCTTCTCCTAGCATGTCATATTGTGCAGGTAAACTGTTTTGCACATTTAGAAAGATAGTTCAATTAAAAAAAAAATTCAACTGTAGTCAAAATAGTAGAGAACAGAGAAGGCCACTGTTTGGCCACTTTCTAATTTTGCAGCCTTGGGCAAATCATTTATACTCTATTGTTTCTGTAAAATGCCCAGGATGGTTTTGGTGGTACAGGGGTTATTGGGGAAGAGGCAGTTAGACAAGGTCTTAGCGTTGGTTCTATACACCTTATGGTACCTCAGCATCCCTCAAGGACTTCTTACTGTGTAGTAGGAGGGCTGGAGGAGCTCCCTATCCTTGTTTTTATCAAGCCACCCTTTTTAAAATAACCTTAATATTTGGGACTTCTCAGCATGATTTCTCTTGAACACAGATTCCTCAGGCCATTCTTAGAGTTTGTGGTTTTTCTGCCCTGTCAAGGACCTGGTACAGGTCAACTTGCCAAACACTAGGAAAAAAGTAAATATTTTTAAATAAAAAGCAAAACCAATATCATTAAACAGCTTTATTTATTTATTTAAACAGAGCCTTGCTCAGTCGCCCCAGCTGGAGTGCAGTGGTGCCATGTCTGCTCATTGCAACCTCCACCTCCTGCGTTCAAGTGATTCTCGTGCTTTAGCCTCCCCAGTAGCTGGGCTTACAGGCATGCGCTACCACACCTGGCTAATTTATGTATTTTTAGTAGAGATAGAATTTCGCCATTTTGGCCAGACTGGTCTGGAACTCCTGGCCTCAAGAGATCCACCTGCCTTGGCCTCCCAAAGTGCTGGGATTACAGGCGTGAGCCACTGCACCTGGCCAAACAGGATGTAGTAAACAATAAATAGTACTACTCAATATTCAAATAAATGTCACATATTCTGGAGTTTATTTTTTGAAATGGTTCATTAAATTATTTACTGCTATTTATTTGAGGAATTAAAAGACATAGTTTCTCATCTCTGCGACTTGATAACAATGTGATGATCTTGGATAAAAAACAGTCTGTCTCCTATCTTAACAGCTTCTCCGTCCGTAAAATAGGGACGATAACATGTAACACCTACCACACGTGGTCATATTATAAAGAATGAAATTCATTCAATAAATGTGTATCCTGCATTTACTATATACGGCATGCATTATTCTTGGTACTTGGGATACCTTGTTAAACAAAACAGTAATCCCTGCCATCATGGAGTTTATATTTTTAAAGGATATCTGTGAGATGTATATTGTATTTTAAAAGGGAAAACAATAGCAAATCATGTAGTGTGACAAAAGTTGATAATTGTAATAGAAAAAAGAAAAAAATAGTTCAAGATAAGGTGAATTGAGTGCTATATGGAGAGCAGGGAAGAGAGCATTGTCAGAATTCTGTAAGGTTGGCTAGTAGGTCTCATTAAACAGCTTAGAAGTTTACAAAGCCTTGAGGAAGTGAGAGAGAGAACAAGGCTGTCTTCCTTGAGACAGCTCAGGGAAGAGCTTCTAGGTAGCAAGAACAGCCAATGCAAAGGCAGGGGGGTACTTTGGTATTTGTGGAACAGTGAGGAGGGCAATATGACTGGTATGCTTGAAGGGTGGAGGAGGATAGTTGTAGTTAAGATCAGAGAGGTAATGAGTCTGTTGAGGTCATCATACAGACTTTGATTTTAACCTTAAGTGAAATGAAAAGTTGCAGGATTTTGGAAAGAGGTCTGACATGATCTGACATGTACAGTTGACTGTTGAACAACATGGGTTTGAACTGTGTAGGTTTATTTACACATAGATTTTTTTTTTCAGTAGATATACTGGAAAATTTTTTGGAGGTTTGTGACACTCGCAGATGAACTATGTAGCCTAGAAATATAGAAAAAATCAAGAAAAAGTTATGTAATGAATGCATAAAATATATGTAGGTACTATATTTTATCATTTACTACCATAAAATGTACACAAATCTATTATCAAAAGTTAAAATTTATCAAAGCATGCATACACAGACCTTACATGGTGCTATTTTCAGTAGAGAGAAATGTAAACAAACGTAAAGATGCAGTATTAAATCATAACTGCATAAAATTAGCTGTAGTACATACTTTACTACTGTAATAATTTCTTAGCCTCCTCCTGGCTATTCTGGTAAACTCAAGTGTTTGGGATATCTGCTTAAAACGCTGTATGATGCTAATCATCCCCACATGAGCAGTTCTCCAGTAAAATGTGAATCACAATAAAAAGTGATTTCTCGCAGTTCTGGCATATTATTTTTCATCATGTTTAGTGCAGAACTGTAAGCCTTGAATAACACCATGGGAACCATATGAAGTGTCACCAGTGATGCTGGAAGAGCTCTCAAGCAGCAGAGAAAATTTATGACATTGTAAGAAAAAGTTAATGGGTTGCCTACCATTTTGGAGAGACCATTAATTTTGTAAACAAATTATGTAAAACTTAGAGCATCCATAATACAGTACAGTTATGTAAATGTATTTTCTTAGGATTTTTAAAAAATGTTTTCTCTAGCTTTTATTGTAAGAATACAGTAT